>NC_000010.11:14403939-14555454 GCF_000001405.40 Homo sapiens
GCAGGCCTCAGGGCTGCCAGGGAACCAAGCTGCCTCTCGTTCTTATATCTAAATTTAATTTAACCATAGTGTTACCCTACATGTCAACAGTTCAGGACAAATTGATGGATTCCAGTTTAACTATTTAGCTGTGCCAGTGGTAATGTGTGCAACCATGCATTAAATTAAAAATGACACTTGGAAATATGTATATCCGGGACCTCAGTTCCGTGCACCAAATAGGAAAAAGATTTAAAATGCTGTCTAGTGGAGGATTACCACTGAAGAAGCATGAATCTCATTACCGCAGGCTGCACAGAACACATTTGCAAAGCTCCGTTTAAAAGCTCTCTGATGGTAGCAGCCTGGTTATCTGGCTGGATAAACATGACATTTCCTTTCCATAATAGAAAGCCCAGTTGCTGCCAAAGCAAAGATGTTGTCAGGGTCCTCAATGTCCTCACACCCACCTTGATTCCTGGGCACCCTCACTCAGCTTATGTGTCACCCATGCCAACTGTCTTCTCCTACCAAGACCGCAGTCCTACCCTTCACACAGATGTTCATGAACGTATCCACAGACAAATCACTAGAAAATTATAGTCGTTATCATTTATTAAGTACCTACTATGTGCTAGCCATATTGCCAGACACTTCTTACAGTATCTCATTTAACAGTCCTATGAAGTCACTGTTATTAATTCATTTTGGCATATACAGAAATTGATGCTCAGAGAGGTGAAGTACCTTTTTCAAGATTGCACAGCGATGCAGGGCAGAGCCAAGGCCTGTCTAATTCCAAAGCTTGGTCTCTTTAACCATAGGTAGCAGTGCCACTGGAACCATCACTCCTAAAAATGCCCAGTTAACTGAGCTTCTGTTCATATTTTGCATTCATCCATGAAATCAAATGAGCCTAAGGTACATCCTAGGTAAGAACTGCAAACTAAAGTGCATTTGCTTAGAATTATCCTACTCCTATGCCCTTTCCCTCTGGAGGCAGGCAAGTCCCTCTACTATGAACTCTTTATGGTCAGGGATCAGGCTTATTTGTCTCATACACCCAACACTCCGTCCCATGCCCAGCCTAGAGCAGGTGCATGTGAGCATTTATCCAGGTGCAGTGAACTGGGTGCTGGGGAAAAGATGGGAGAGAAGATGTAAGGGTGCCAGTGAGGTCCAGGAAGAGCATGGGGAGAGGACATGCCCATTGGAGAAACACAGTCATCAGGAATGTAATGGTGGGAGAGGGAAAGCTCATCACCCTCGTTCTCACGCTAACAGAAAGGCATTTTCCCCAGGAGCCAAGCCAACGTTATCACGGAAATAGCAGCCTTCAAATTCTTTCATCTTCCTGAAATGTAACTTCAGATCATTTGACTGTGAATCACAAGAGAAAGCCTAACAGCAAATATTCTCCATGCTAAGTACAAATTTGGGTAAATAAGAAAGCAGAATGGAATGCGGGGAAAAAAAATAAAGACAAATGATCTAAAACCGAACTGCGGTAGTCTGGCGGGTGCTTGCACAGCCTGGCACTGTCTTCCCGTTTCTCCACGTAGATGGGCACTACCATCGCAACGGCAAAATGCAAATCAACCTTATTGTTTCATAAAAAAGTCCAATCACATAACCCAATTAAGTCCACTGTTCCTGAAACAATTGGATCTTCTAGGAAATGAACACAGATCAAGTCGAAGACATTTTCCTATTCACCCGACTCCAATTCTGCTCATTTGTCTCCTGTTCTCCATGCTCTATCCCACTTCCATCTCCCAATGATAGGCTAGCAATTTCTTTTCTAAACAGAAACTCAACAGCCACCCAGTTTTGCATTTATTCAGCACATTCCCTGCTGAGAAATGTCCATTAGTGGGAGTTTTACCATGACCTAACCTTGCAGAGTTCTGGGTCGAGTTGGCTGGCACGGGTTGGGGAGAGGATGGGAGCAGGAGGCAGCTGAAATTAACCTGATTTCAGCAGTTGGCTCCTGAGTGTGTTTGCGTCTGTTGTCTTAATGGACTGTAAGAGATGCCAGGTTGTCTGCCAGAACCTGCTGTCAAGGTTGAGGGACACAGGCAGGCAGCCTGAGGGAGCCTACAGCCTGGGTGCTTGGTGCGGCTACTCTTGGTCAGTCACCTCACACTGCCAGGTTGGTCTACCTGGAAGCCTTTGGCTTCTCCTGTTGTTGTTGTTGTTTTGAGGCAGAGTCTCACTTTGTCACCCAGGCCAGAGTGCAGTGGCACAATCTTGGCTCACTGCAACCCCCACTTCCAGGGTTCAAGTGATTCTCATGCCTCAGCCTCCTCAGTAGCTGTTTTATTATTTTCTAAAACACAACAAGATATTGTTTGTTGGATACAAACTGCCTTCCAAGCTTTATGGTAAACACCTTGAATAGCCTAGTTATTGTCCCCACATCACAGATGAGAACACTGAGGTAAACAGAGGCCATGGACTCTGGCCAGAAGAGGCCTTACAGAGCTAGGAAGGGGGAACAGGGCTGAAATTCATGCCCAAGCCATTCGATTCCACATTCTATCATTGTTGGTTTCTGTAAGGGGACAGGTTCTTCTCCCAGGAACCAGATAAAGGGATGGAGTCTCTAGAGAGGAACGTGCTTTTCTGAGGCTCATTCTGCTCTATTTCCATCCTTTTCCAATATTAAAATCCCTTTGTGCTTTTTCTTTTCTCTTATTTTTTATTTTTCTTTGAGACGGAGTCTCGCTCTGTTGCCCAGGCTGGAGTGCAATGACACGATCTTAGCTCACTGCAACCTCTGCCTCCCAGGTTCAAGTGATTCTCCTGCCTCAGCCTCCCAAGTAGTTGGGATTACAGGTGCCCACCACCATGCCTGGCTAATTTTTTTATTTTTAGTAGAGACAGGGTTTCTGCCATGTTGGCCAGGCTGGTCTTGAACTCCTGACCTCATGTGATCCACCTGTCTCGGCCTCCCAAAGTGCTAGGATTACAGACATGAGCCACCGCGCCTGGCCTCCTCTGTGCTTTTCAAAACAGTATCATGATAATCACTACACCTTCAGTCCACATTGAATAAGGCAAGAGGCTACTATGAATTTAATGATGTTTATAAACAAATTTGTATCTTATTCATGACAATCAAATCCACAAACATTTCATACGTGGCTAAGTCATGTTATCCAGGCGATGCACACTTCTCAGAGTACATGGGGATTCTTGGATTCCATGAATCGATTTAGAAATCCACAGCCAGCATTGATTTCTGTCTCTGCTCCTTGTCTCATGGGTGGGTGCCCAAATTAGATGATGTAAAGACGGATAAGAATTCCGGCTTAAAAATAACAGCACAACAACGATAGCAAACGAAATACATCTAAATGCTTCAATCAAGCGGGAATCTAAGGAGATATTGGACTTACTGTCAATGTTCTTTTACTCTAGGGTCTGACAGGAAGTCAGCCTGAGGACGGATTAAAGGTTGTTTGCCTAGGAAAGGAATGATCCTTGTAAAGAGAGCTTCCAGAGCCTTGAAGAAAGGGCCTGATTGAAGTGAATTTCTTGTCATATGAGGACAAAATGCCCAGGACTGCCCACTCACTGCCTGGGGTCTCACCAGGATTGTGTGTTGTATTATTTTATTTTGCCAGAATGCCAGCGTCTTGTCTCTCCTGTTTGCTTATGCTACCACACAGCAAAAAAACACCAAGGCAATCTGTCCTTTCCTTTGGATCTGATCAACAAAAAAAGCAAGGGAGCTTCTTCCAAATTGCTATTTACTCTCTCGATGGTTATCAGAGGCATGTGAACCAGAGCAACCGCATCTTGAATAGGAGCTGAGCAAAATGAGGCTGAAACCTATTGGGCTGCATTCCCAGACAGTTAAGGCATTCTAAGTTACAGGAGGAGATAGGCGGTCGGCACAAGATACAGGTCATAAAGACCTTGCTGATCAAATAGGTTGCAGTAAAGAAGCCGGTCCAAATCCACCAAAACCAAGATGGCGATGAGAGTGATCTCTGGTTGTCCTCCCTGCTACACTCCCACCGGCACCAAGACAGTTTACAGATGCCATGGCAACGTCAGAAGTTACCCTATATGGTCTAAAAAGGGGAGGCATGAATAATCCACCAGTTGTTTACCATATAATCCAGAAAGAACCATAAAAATGAGCAACCAGCAGCCCCTGGGGCTGCTCTGTCTATGGAGTAGCCACTCTCTAATCCCTTACTTTCCTAATAAACTTGCTTTCACTTTATGGACTCACCTTAAATTTTTTTCTTGTACAAGATCCAAGAACCCTCTCTTGGGGTCTGGATCGGGACCCCTTTTCTGTAACAGTGACCTGATTTCTGAGTTTCTTGGTCTCAGATGGCTGCAGGAAAGCTAGGCAATCTACCATCGCAATGCTGCCTGACCACAAAGACAAAACAAGATCTGGTGTCCTTACCATTATCAAATAGTTTCACTTCTCTTATTCTTAAGATGAATTTTGAATAATTCCTGGCATCAAAGCAATAACCACCCTCCCAGAATTACAGGGAGGCTCTTGATGCTGGATGTGTGTTTATTCTGAAATCAATATGGGAAAGACAGTTCATTCTGAATGTATTTGATTAGAGGCCTAGACTTTAAATCCATATGACTGCCATTGCCATTTATCCCAGGCAGAGGAAGCTAGCAAAGGGTTACTTGTATGTGTGATGTGAGAGCTGTCCCTGTGGAGCCCCATCAATTCCTGCATCTCTGTTTGGATAGGGTTTATTCGACAGGGCCTGACACTCTAGTCCACACATCACAGTGCTCACTCAAAGAACTTTGTCTGTGGAGTAGGCATCTAGGAGAGAATTTCTGACTCCAGCTCGTCTCACCTCAGTTCTTACCCAGCCAAAGTGCAACTCAGATTCTGAGCTCTGCCTCAGCCAGGGAACCAGAGTTCCCATCAATTCGTGATTTGCCAAGGAATTCATTTGCAACAGGAACTGGAAGACCATGGTACAGTATGACCAGGGGAAGGACACTGATTCTTGCTGATTCTTGAGTGGGGTTTTGTGGTTTTTATGTTTTAAGAGATGGGGTCTTGCTCTGTTGGCCAGACTGGAGTGCAGTGGCATGATCATAGCTCACTGCAGTCTCAAATTCCTGGGCTCATGTAATCTTCCCACCTTAGTCTCCCAAGTAGCTGGGATTACAGTGCATGCCACCAGGACCAGCTAATTTTTTATTTTTTTAATTTTCTGTAGATAAGAGGTCTCACTACGTTGCCCAGGCTGGTCTTGAACCCCTGGGCTCAAGTGATCCTCCTGCTTCAGCTTCCCAAAGTGCTGGGACTATAGGTGTGAACCACTGTGCTCAGCTTCCAAAGGGGTTTTATAGCAGCCTTGACTTGCCAATCTTCAAAATTATCTGTGAGGCAAACCACATTTTGATTTCTTTTTTCACTTAGGAAGGTCTGAGACAGAGATCTTAAGCTGTGTGAGGTCAAAGAAGTCAGTCAGCAAAGCCATCTGACTGGCATTCCATTACTCACTTTTTCTACTAATATCACTGGGGCACAAGGAAAAAACTTGTCATCGGGCCCCCAGATTGAATGAACAAAGAAATTGACACGAAACCGAAAGGGTTTTTAGGAAGCAAGGAAAGCAGTGGCTCACACCTGTAATCCCAGCACTTTGAGAAGCTGAGGCAGGTGAATCACTTGAAGTCATGAGTTCGAGAACAGCCTGGCCAATGTGGTGAAACCTCATTCTCTACTAAAAATACAAAAATTAGCCAGGTGTGGTGGTGCATGCCTGTAATCCCAGGTACTTCAGGAGGCTGAGGCAGGAGAGTCGCTTGAACCCGAGAGGCAGAGGTTGGAGTGAGCTAAGATCTTGCTACTGCACTCTAGACTGGGTGACACAGTGAGGATCCATCTGAGGAAAGAAAAAGGAAAAGAAGTTAGAGGGAGAGGGAGAAGGAGAGAAAGAAAAAGATAAAGAGAGAAAGAAAGAAAGAGAAACAGAGAGAAAAAAAGAAACAGAGAGAGAAAGAAAGAGAAAGAAAGAAAGAAACAAAGAAAGAAAGAAAAAAGAGAGAAAGAAAGAAAGGAGAAAGAAAGAAAGAAAGAAAGAGTGGGAGGAAGGAAGTGGGGGAGGAAGGAAGGAAGGAAGTGGGGGAGGAAGGGGAGTTTGTAGTGGTATCACACTGTGGTTTTAATTTGCATCTTACCAGTGATGAATGATGTTGCATGTCTTTTCATGTGCTTGTTTGCCATCTGTATATCTTCTTTGGTGAAGTGTCTGTTCAACTCTTTTGCAAAGAAGAGAAGAGAACAGAAGAGAAAGGAAAAGAAAGCCAGAAAGGGAGGAAGGGGAGGACGGAAAGGAGGAAGGGAGGGAAAGAGAAAGAGAAAATAAAAGAAAAGAAAGGAAAGAAGAAAGGAAAGGAAAAGAAAGAGAGGAAAGGGGAAAAGGGAAAGGGCTCAGAACATAGGCGAGCCTGGCTTTTGATATTGGATATGGGATACTAGCTGTCAGCACATGGTCAACTGTGCAACCATCGAAGTATCAGTTTCCTTGGCTGTCAATGGGATTAAACAGCAGTCGCCTTATATAGGTGTTACGAGGATCAGCGAAGATAACATATGTAAAGCATGGAACAAACAGGTTTTTTTCCTCCAACATGGGTTTAGCTCAGGGTGGAGCTAGTCTCCCACACATTGCTTTTACAATCCTTATATAACCCTGAGCCTCACGGTGTGGTTGTGGATCAGGGTCACAGCAAAAGAACAACAATCCAGATGGAAACTTCAATCACAGCTTCTCACTCAAATGTTTAAGGCAGGTCAGAAACTAAGTTCATGCTACCGGTATTAAGATCTCCTCTCAGCACTCTGGGAGGCTGAGGCAGGTGGATCACCTGAGTTCAGGAGTTCAAGACCAGCCTGGCCAACATGGTGAAACCCTGTATCTACTAAATACACACAAGCACACACAAAATTATCTGGGTGTGGTGGCACACGCCTGTAATCCTGGCTACTCAGGAGGCTGAGGCTGGAGAATCACTTGAACCCGGGAGGCGGAGGTTGCAGTAAGCCGAGATAGCTCCACTGCACTCCAGCCTGGGTGACAGAGCAAGAATCTGTCTCAAAAAAAAAAAAAAAAAAAAAAGATATCCTCTCCTTTCTATTTCTCTGGTCCCTCCATCTCTCAATCTCCTGGGACTTGTTCACTCTATTGCTCGAATCAAATGCCTCATCCACTCCATCCTGATTGCATCTCTGCCCCCAGTTCCTTTGCTTCTCCATGCAACACACTACATACACCTTAGCACATTGCCTCAACTCTCTCTACCTCCAAGAAACGTATATTTGTATTTTTATAAGAATCTAATCATGTAGTGTA
This sequence comes from Homo sapiens, assembly GCF_000001405.40. Taxonomy (NCBI): domain Eukaryota; kingdom Metazoa; phylum Chordata; class Mammalia; order Primates; family Hominidae; genus Homo; species Homo sapiens. The sequence goes on from NC_000010.11 coordinate 14,411,283, forward strand.
TTCCTTTTTTCTTCCAAGAAAGCAGGGTTGGAGACGATGCCAAGACAAAGGGAATTGAGGAGCTGTGAACTCCCACACATAAATAATTTTTATACCATCTCATAGAGTTAAAACACAAGATTCTTTATTTTCTCAAGTAGTATCCTGGTACATATAGTTTTGAAATTTCCCAGGAGTTTAAATAAAACATTTTACATGGTCCATAAATTGTGATATTAGCCCGTGGATGGCATGGGAAATGCTATAATTTTTTCCTGGCCAACAAAATTATTACTAGCATCATTGCCAACTCAGTACAGTTTATAACCCTCTGTGGATTTTTTTTTCATTCCAATACTTATTTATATTTTAACAATCATTTGACCAAAGACTCCTTTTTTTATAAACTTAACTGAAAACATATTTTTCACTCTTGACATAGCCTCGTTGAATTCTAAAGTGGAGCCTGTTTCCACACACTATTATAAAATAAGAATATTTACTACTGAATATATCTACTTTGTAGAGGACAAGCTTGAAGACTATAGGAAGTCACAGGAAATTTAGATTTGTTCATTATAAATGCTAATTGATGGGGGAGATGATAATAGACCGTCTTTGGCGTATCTAAGTTAAATAGAAGAAATAGTTCAATAAAAACCAACACCCTACTACTATTTTTAAATTATTAAACTAAATGGAAGAAATGCCTTGACCTGAATTTCCTGGAGCTCAGTAACTCTGATTTGGCTTCTTGATCCTTCTGTTTCAGGGTGTCAGTCATTTCCTAGATTTCTGCCCTCTCATCACCCCTGTGAATGCTGGTCAGCCCCCCACTCACCCTGACTGTGGCCTTCAATCTATCTGACGTGCAATGGGTGACTCTCTTCTTTGTTAGCCTCTTTAGTTCTTGCCTCCTCCAATGGCCCCTACCTCCTGCACTTGTTACTATGAGAATTAAGCTTAAATGGATGCTAAAAGTGAAGATAAAAACACTAGTTACCACTTCACCTAGAACTCTTTGCTTATATCACCAGAGACTTAGAGGAGAGGTGCCCAGGCAGAAAACCCATTCATCTGAGGACCTGTGACAAGGAACAAGAAAGTGGCTGCTTGAGATGAAGACAAAGATCACACCAAGTTGGGGAAGATGTCATTGCCAAAATTTCTGGCATCCACCAGGAGGGCGGAGTTGTCCAAATTACAAATCAGAACAATTGAAAATGGAAAGTCTCAATCTTGGGCTTTACCCCAGCTTTGCCCTTGACTTGTGGTGTAACTTTACATGGAACAGCTTATCCCTCACTGATTTAGATTGGTAAATCCCAGTGCATTGTATTATTCTTATGTATAGTTGGTAAATGAGAAGTCCCAATGCATTGTATTATTCTCATTTCTTTTCCCACCATTTGGCCAAAAATGTTACAACCATCCCACCTTCAGCAGGAAGACTGTTAGAAGTGACTATAAATCAGGACAGCCTCCTGACTAGCAATAGTAAAAGTCAGTTACACGAAGCAGAATCACACAGTCACTAATCGGTGTCAGAAAAACACAGATGTCCTTGGAAATAAAACCATGAAAAACAACCACCACCCATGAGTCTGTCTGAGTCACAGCACTATGGACAATTCCATATTCTTGTTTACTTGAATTTTTCTAATTTTTTTCTATAGAAACCAATGTTACTTGAATAGTAAGAAAACTGGAAATAATTCTTATAGTTTTTATCTTATTTTTTGGATAAATTTGTGATTTTTTAATCACTGTTCTATTCTAAACTATATACTATTTTATGTAAACTACTAACATCATTGTTACAACTATTGACAGATGACCTGCTAAGAGCTACTTAATCTTCAGAAATCCAGTAGGTGTGTTATCGTGTAACTCAGAAATACAATCGTGATTTTTAGTTAAGAGTTTTTGGAGGGCCTTCTTGTTTGCTACAATTAAAGGCCTGTGTTGTGTTACGACAATGATTCTCTCTTTTCAGCAATTCAGGTGTCAAGCAGGGAGCTGAGATGTAATGGTTTCCTTCAGATTTCTCCTAAATGACCTGATTTACTCAAAGAATGAAGATATCTGAGAATCCTTGCCTTTCCATTGAGAAGCTTTTAGTTAGAAATTTTTTAAAAAGTAATTTCATTGTTTAAAAATCATCATTGTAATTAAAACAAATATTAACAAAAGGAGTATATGATGAGACAGTTGTCTTAGATTTTATTAGACAATGTACACATTGACCCAAAAGTATCACCACAAATCAAATTTTATAGTGACAATGAACTGAAAAAGCTGTTGACTTTACTGCTGTCAGATTTCTGTGAGTTTCAGCTGTAACATGAAGATTTAGAGCACTATGTGCAACTCTGCTCACAACAGCCAAGACGTGGAAAGAGCTAAGCGTCAGTTGATGCGCGTGCACACACACACACAATATTATTCAGCCTTTAAACAGAAGGAAATCCTCTCATTTGCAACAACATGGATGGCCCTGGAGGACATTATGCTGAGTGAGATAAGCCAGGCACAGAAAGACAAATACTGCATGACCTCACTTACATGTGGAATTTTAAGAAGTGAAACTTGTAGAAGAAGAGAGCAGATTGGTGGTTACCAGTAGCCGAGGAGTTGGAAAATGGGGAGATGTTGGTCAAAGGACACAACGTTTCAGTTCTAAGAGGAAGAAGTTTTGGATACCTAAGGTACAGTATGCTGACTATGGTTCATAATACGGCGCTGTATACTTGAGATTTGTTCAAAGAGCAGATCTTAAATGTTCCAGAAAGAAAGAAAGAAGAAAGGGAGGGAAGGAAGGCAGGAAGATCTGGTACTTGATAGCACAACAGGGTGACTATAGTCAATAATAATTTGTGCATTTTTAAATAACTAAAAGACTATAACTGGATTGCTTGTAACACAAAGGTTATTGCTTGAGGGGACAGATTCCCCATTTACACTGACGTGATTATTACACATTGTATGCCTGTATCAACGTATCTTATATACCTCATAAACATATATACCTACTATGTACCCACAAAAATAAAAATTAAAAATTGAAAGAATGAAAAAGAAAAAAAAGAGAAGAGAATGAGAAAAAGAGAGAGAGAGGCAGGAAGGAAGGAAGGGAGGGAGGGAGGGAGGGAAGGAGGGAAAGGAGAGAGAGAGGGAGGGAGGGAGGGAGGGAGGGAGGGAGGAAGACTATGTTAGGTGATGGATAAGTTAATTAGCTGGTTTGTGGTAATCATTTCACAGTGTATATGTATATCAAATCATCACATTGTACATCTTGAATATATACAATTTTTATTTGTCGATTATACCTCAATAAAGCTAGGAAACAGATTGGGACGCTATGGAAGCTGCTGCCCACCTAAGACTCTGCACTGGAGGTCGTAACAGCACAGCAGATTCTCAGTTAATGTCTTCAGTAGGTTCTTGGAAACTGCAACTTTAAGCAAAACGATGTATAATGAAACCAATTTCTTTCCTCTATCAACAAACCAACGTTGAAGGAGACAGCATTATTCCAGGACCAGCTATACACCGTTTCACTTAAAGTCACTGTTTCAAAGAATCTACCAAGAATGTTAAATGAGGACCTACTGTACCCATCTCATAGGGTCACAGGGAAGATCAGCTGCACAATTATGCACATAAGAGCCTAGAAAAATGATCGATATGCCCTACAAATGTTATATGAGTAATAGTCATTGTCCTCTTGGGATCACAAAGGTCTGTGAACCTATGTCCTCATATCCTCAACATCCTCTCCTCACCCTCCCAGCTCAGGTTTAAACCCTAGAAATACGTGTTACAGTGAAGCTGGATAACTCTAACCTCAGAATTATGCGGCCTTAGGCTTACTCATCCATCCTGAAATCTGTTAGGGCAATCTGGTCCAAGTTTGAACCACAGCCTTATTGCTTTATATAGCAAGCCTAGTACATCTGTAAAATGAGCACAGTCCCTGGCCTGCAAGGGTGCTTTAAGGCTCCAAGTCAATGTGTGTAAGGATTATAGTGTAAAATTCGGTACATCACAGGTGCTCCATGCATGGTAAATAACAGCATTTTTTTGTTTTTTGTTTGCTTGTTTGTTTTGAGAAGGAGTCTCACTCTGTCACCAGGCTGGAGTGCAGTGGCATGATCTCAGCTCACTGCCACCTCCCCCTCTCAGGTTCAAGCAATTCTCCTGCCTCAGCTTCCCAAGTAGCTGGGACTACAGCTGCACGTCACCATACCCAGTTAAACGCCCAGTTAATTTTTGTATTTTTAGTAGAGACGGGGTTTCACCATGTTGACCAGGATGGTCTCGATCTCTTCACCTCGTGATCTGCCCACCTCAGCCTCCCAAAGTGCTGGAATTATAGGCGTGAGCCACCATGCCCAGCCAATAATAGCACTGTTATTACGATTTCTAAAAGCTAAAGGAGGCACTGAGTTAATTGGGGGTTCTTTTGTTTCCCAGATTTCCTGCCCTTGATATAGCCATGGAGAGAAAGTGAGAAAAGGGCTCTGAAAACCTTCCAGTTCTTCCCTAGAGGAAATAGCCAGTGAGGACGTCAGAGGTATTTGAACCACAGCAACTGCATTTTGAATAGGAGCTGGATAAAATAAGCCTGAAACCTACTGGGCTGCATTCCCAGGTGTTTAAGGCATTCTAAGTCACAGGATAAGATAGGAGGTCAGCACAAGATACAGGTCATAAAGACCTTGCTGATCAAACAGTTTGCAGTGAGGAAGCCGGCTAAAACCCACCAAAACCAAGATGGTGACAAGAGTGACCTCTGTTCATCCTCACCACTATGCTCCCACCAGTGCTATGCCAGTTTACAAATGCCATGACAACGTCAGGAAGTTACCCTATGTGGCCTAAAAAAGGGGAGGCATGAATAATCCACCCCTTGTTTAGCATATTAAAAAATAACCATAAAAATGGGCAACCAGCAGCCCTCAGGGCTGCTCTATGGAGTACCCATTCTTTTATTTCTCTACTTTCTTAATAAACTTGCTTTCACTTTATTCTATCAACTTGCCCTGAGTTCCTTCTTGTATAAGATCCAAGAACCCTCTCTTGGGGTCTGGATTGGGACCCCTTTCCAGTAACAAAGTCTCCTCATTGAAACAGCTAACACTGTAGGAATGTGAGGCGTGTACGTTGGAGTCAGCTTTCTTGTCTGAGTCCTGGCAGGTTCAGAGACAGGAATGCCCCTGGGGAAAGAGCAACTCGCTACATGTGACCTTTTCTCTCTAGTGGGGAATCGAGACAAATACCCAGTTACAGGCTGTGATGTGTGTATTACTACGCATTCCCAGATCTCAAAGCTACCGCTACAAGCTAAACCCCAGACTTGGAGTCTAGCAAAATAAATTGTACCCATCGAGGTACCCCTAGGAAGTTACTTTATATGCAATGGTCAGCCTACCTTGTCTAGGCTTCATCGGACTTAATTATTTGATTTATGAATGGTCAATGTTATTGACCATCCAGCTGCCCATAAACTCTTCCACTTAATAAAACAGTGGCCTATTAGCCTACACGTTCAATAGACAAGCATCGAAGGGAAGCAGAATCCATGGGGACAACCAAAAAGAGGCAGCCACTCTCCTGGCTCTGTAAGGAACCTCCCAAAGAGGGTAAAGATTTCACTTTTATCTATAGATGCCTTGTTGGATTTTGCATAAAGAAATTACTAGAGTCACTGAACCATAACTTAGTTCTTCTAAATAGTGGTGAATATTTGAAAGCTTCAAGGACACTGCTAGAAACTTTACCAAGTATATACATACCTAGGTAAAAAGAGCATATTCATCCTATAGACTACACAGCATCCCAGCCATACTCCAAATAGTATACATACTAATGAAAAGAGTCAAACTCTATAAAATATTTGAAGAAATTTATTCTGAGCCAAATATGACTGACCATGGCCCATGACACAGCCCTCTGGACGGCTTGAGAACATGTGCCCAAGGTGGTTGGGGTGCAGCTTGGCTTCATACATTTTAGGGAGGCATGAGAGATCAAAGACATCTGAGAAATACACTGGTTTGGTCGAGAAGGCTGGACAATTCAAAGTAGGAAGCTTCCAGGTTATAGGTAAATTTAAACATTTTCTGGTTGACAATGGGTTAAGTTTATCTAAAGACCTGGGATCAATAGAAAGGAAATGTTCAAGTTAAGATAAAGGATTGTGGAGGTTCTTTTGAAGTCTCATAGTGGCTGCCCTTAGAGAAAAAACATGACAAATGTTTTCCCTTCAGACTTTCAAAAGGTGGTAGACGCTCGGTTAATCTCTTCAGGATTGGGAGGGCCTACAACAAAAAGATCTAGCTGTGTTAATAAAGATTCTTCACAGATGCAAATTTTCCCCCACAAAGGATGGCTTTGCAGGGCCATTTCAAAATATGGCAAAGAAACATGTTTTGGGATGAAATATTTTCATTTTCTCCTTTGTCACATGTTGTTATGCCAGAGTCAGATTCGAAAGTAAATCAATGATATACGGGGTTATACAAAACACATCTGATGAGAATTTATGGTTTGTAGGCCATGACTCCCCAGACCCCTCAGATATTTGGGCAAGATAGAAAAAAAATCAGAGCTTAGTTCTCACAAAACAATTAATTAATTCCTGTGCTGCTGGATTTGCTACTCCCATTAAAAAGAACATGGTTGGAATGGACGCCTTTTGCAAGGCAATAATATTCAGTCCATTGCAAGGAAACTAGGGGTTCTTTAAGATGGTAACCCCAGTATGAGCACGAGGTCTCTGTGTGTCTACTTTCTTTGAAGATTTGCTGGATCTCACATCTGACAAAAAGATACAACCCTGGGCCATCATCATAATGAAGTGTCCCTCTAGGCTGGCAGGTTTCTGCACACTCATCCCTTCCACTATAATCAAACTGTAACCTAGGATTTCTCCTTTTGAGCACATACAGCCAAGATCAGAGTTTAATACTTATCTCTTGCTGTCTCTGAAAAGATTGTGAGTTTGTTCTTGCAATATAAGAGCGCATTAAGAATTCCAGGACTCTTACATTCCTCACTGGAAGCAACGCTTGAGACTTGCTTTACAAACCCTACAACAACAGGCAAGCAGAAATCCCATTCCACCTCACTCTGCATGTGGTTGTGAAGAAAGCTCTCTACAAATGGCAGCCTGAGAATGTTAGAGGTGTATGAACCAGAGTGACTCCATCTTGAATAAGGGCTGGGTAAAACAAGGCTGAGACCTATTGGGCTGCATTCCCAGATGGTTAAGGTCTTCTAAGTCACAGGATGAGATAGGAGGTTAGCACAAGATACCTTGCTAATAAAACATAAATAAACACCTTGCTAATAAAACAGGTTGCAGTAAAGAAGCCAACCCAAATCCGCCAAAACCAAGATGGTGATGAGAGTGACCTCTGGTTGTCCTCACTGCTACACTCCCACCAGCGCTGCCATGACAGTTGACAAATGACATGGTAATGTCAGGAAGTTACCCTAGATGGTCTAAAAAGGAAAGGCATGAATAGCATATAATCAAGAAATAACCGTAAGAATGGGCAACCAGCAGCCCTCAGGGCTGCTCTGTCTATGGAGTAGCCATTCTTTTATTCCTTTACTTTCCTAATAAACTTGCTTTCACTTTAATCTATGAACTTGCTCTGAATTCTTTCTAGCGCGAGATCCAAGAACCCTCTCTTGGGGTCTGGATCGGGACCCCTTTCCAGTAACAAGAGCATTCTACTGCACTATGTTCCAGCACCCATGTTGGTAAGTATTAGCTTTGTTCCTTAATTCATTCAGACCTCTCATTTAAGCCCCCGCGTCTACACAGGTACGTATGAGGGTTGGAAGAATCTGGAAGGAAACAGTTATTAGCAAACAAATCCTGGAGTGGGCCAGGCCATGATTGCTCCAGAGTTTGTGTGACCCCAAGCCAGGGCTGAACTGATCTTTAAATGTTATAATCACCTGGAAGAACTTGATGATCTGTAAGCCACTGAGACATATAAGAGAACTAAAAACTTCTGAGAATGTTTTTTTCCATTTTGCTAAATATTTTTAAAATAATTTTATTATTTATGAATTCAATACTCTTGGGTCAATAATATTGACTGTTTGGCATGAATTATCATTTAAACACATAAATAACTTGTACCTTAGTTTGGTTTGCCTGGCATTGCATAGTTGTTATTCACAGAAAAACTGAGAAAAAATTATAATGCATGCCCACTCAAATGTAAAACTTCTGTAACAAGGAGAGGAGGGAGAAGCCATCATACAGATATGTGAGTAGCAACATCTATGTGCTTCCATGTTACAAAAAGAAAGATTATTAAAATTGCTAGAAAGTATAGTTTTACATTTAGCTATGCAGCTCTTCGATTTATTAAAACATAAATTAAATCATCATTCTCAGTAAACTATCGCAAGAACAAAAAACCAAACACCACATATTCTCACTCATAGGTGGGAATTGAACAATGAGAACACATGGACACAGGAAGGAGAACATCACACTCTGGGGACTGTTGTGGCATGGGGGGATGGGGGAGGGATAGCATTAGGAGATATACCTAATGCTAAATGACGAGTTAATGGGTGCAGCACACCAGCATGGCACAACTATACATATGTAACTAACCTGCACATTGTGCACATGTACCCTAAAACTTAAAGTATAATAATAATAAAATAAATAAATAAAAATAAATAAATTAGTAATTATAAAAAAACTTAGCTTATGTTAAAAGTTCATGGCAGAACGAAAAAAAAAAAATAAATGAAATCTCAAGCAACTAGAAGGTTGCTGCATTTCACTTTTGAAAGGTAAAGGTAAATGAAAACAAAGCAATCTTATATCAAGGACTGATTTTTTAACACTTACTGTAACATCCAGAAGTATATGTAGATGACACACATTCTGCATATATGGAACTCTCAGCTATATAAGATGGTCTTCAAATATTAAATAACAACTGACACAGACCCTTTCAGATTCCTGGGAGTTCCATTAATTTTATGACACCTTGCCAGAGCATTAGGCAAGGTGTTGATACCAACGAATGCCATCAGCACATGTGTGTCTCAGGTATGACCCGCTGAGCTCTACAGATCAGTCTGGAAAGGAATAATCCTGCATGTATTTGGTTCAATAGATGCCATATGCTATCATCAAAAGCTGTGGAAGAAGATGCTTCAGTCTATAGCCAATAAAAATCAATCAACCTAAAGGCAGAAATTCATCAATGTATATAAAAATAAGTAGGTGAAATTGTAATAAAGAACTGGATACTTACATAAGTCTCATGGTGTTGCCCAAAAAATTACTTATTCACTCCAAAGGGAGCAATGGTAACTTTACCATGGAGAGAGCTGGTAGACATCATTTTAACCATGTGAGCAAAGCTACTATCACCAATATTGGGACAAATAGACACATGCTCCCTGATATGATGCATGGAGAAGGACACAACATCCGCCTTTTCTATTCCTACCATAAATACAGAACCTAAATCTACTTAGGAGGATACATCAGACAAGACAAATAGACATTCCACAAAATAAATGGCCTCTACTTTTCAAAAATGTCAAGATCAAGATGAAGACAGGCTGAAAAACAGTTCTAGATTAAAGGAAAACAAACTGTGACAAATAAAGACAATATGTGATCTTGGATCAGATCATAGACTGAATTAAAAAATGCCTATAAAGAACACTATTGTCACTATTGGAAAAAATTGACTATGGTTGGATTGTGGATTAAATAATAGTACCGTATTGTATCAATGTTAAATTTCCTGATTTTTTATCATGACAGCATGATTGTATAAGAGAACATTCATGTTTTATAAAAATATATGCTGAAGTATTTAGTGGTAAAGGGGTATGGCATCTCCAATTATCTCATATAACCCAGAAAAAAATTAAATGCATATGTACATATAGGTATGTATGTGTGAGTATACACAGACACATACACACGTAGAGTAGGCTAAAATGTAAACAATTGGTGATTTGCGGTAAAGGTTACCCAGGAGTTGCTTGTACCAATCTTGACACTTTTCTGTAAGTTTAAAATTTCATCAAAATGATATCAAGAAAAAATCATTTCTGGAAAAACTTAATCCACAAATATTTATTTGTATCACAGTGTGTCAGCTGGGCAGAATTTTACAGTTTCTCTAGTCTGCTCTATCTCTTTCAAAGGATACTGGCTGCCATCTTACTACATTTGGACATAGTCACTTGAGTGGCTACTCTTAGCCAAGTTAATGTAGGGTATAGCCTTAAAAGGGTGCTTTTCTTGGAGGTCCCAACAAAGACAGACCTCAAGAAACATGAGGAAGTAAACAGTTTATTGGGAGGGAAGGACCAATAACTATTCCAGAAAGGTTATAGAACATGAAACATTTTGTTGTTTGAATTGTATGTCCTATTTCAATACATTTGGAAAATTCCCTCCAAAAAAATGCAGCACATTTTTTAATAATGTGCATCTGTGAGCTGCCGTCAAATCATTATTGATTTAAAAAATCAGACTAGCTTAAAGCAAGATAGCTCAGTGGTAGCATTAATTTTTTTTCAGATATGTATATTTTTTTCAGATACAGAGAGATAAACGCTTTTCCCAACATCAAAAAGAGCAAAGCTAAAGCTTAGATTTGTCCACTCCTTTATTCACTGAGCATGTTATGATCATTTGCTGGGGGCTCAGCCGACAAGGAAAAAAAAAAATCACACCTGGAAAAAATTCTTCAAGCCCTTCTATGTGCCATTACTCGGCCTTGAACATCCAGTAATTGGCTCTCAAAAAGGCATGTGAAATCCACATGCACAGATCAAAATCTTGATTAATTCCCATGCCCTCCCCGCAAGCCTGCTCCTCCCTCTGTCTTTCCCATCTCAGAAAAATGGTGACTTCATTTTTCTAGTTGTTCAGGCCCAAAACTCTGTGGACAGTCTTCATTCCATTCTTTATCACACACCCAGCATCTATTTTGAGAGCAAATTGTCTGTTCTACCTTCAACATATATCCCAAATCTGACCATTTCTTACCACCTCTACTTCTAACTCTCAGAACTAAGCACCATCCAATCTCACCTGGATTATCAAAATCACCTCCGCCTGGTCTCCCAGCTGTGACCTTACACCCCACGCCTTTGCTCACACAGAGACTAGATTTATTTTCAAGGGGAGGTCAGTGCATTAGTGTGCTAGGGATGCCCTCACAAAGTACTACAGTCTGGGTGGCTTAAACAACAGAAATTTATTTTCTCACAGCTCTGGAGGCTGGAAGTCCAAGATAAAGGTGTTTACAAGGTTGATTCCATTCTGAAGCTTCTGTTCCTTGGTGTATAGATGGCCACATTCTCCGTGAGTCTTCACCTGATTTTTCCTGTGTGTGTGCATACCTACGTGTCCTAATCTCCTTTTATTAGAAGGACACCAGTATTATTGGATTAGAGTCCACCCTCAGGACTTTATTTTACCTAAATTACCTCTTTAAAGGTCCTATCTCCAAATACAGTCACATTCCAAAGTACTAGGGGATAGGACCTCAGCATATAAACTTTGGGGAGACATAGTTAACCCTAAAACAGACCACACACTCCTCTTGACAGCTTTCAGTGGTTCCTCTTAACACTCAAAAAAAAAGCCAAAGTTCCTAGAGTGACCTACTAGGTCCTACCTAATCTAACCTCCCAGACCACTCTGACCTGTATCACATTATTCTCCTCCTTACTCCCTCAACTCCATCTATGCTTGTCTCTTTGCTTTCCCAAAATTGTGTGATACACATCCCAGGCCAAGGTTTCTGCACTGCTGGCTCCTTCTGCCTGGATCCCTATTTTTCCCAGATATTCACATGATTTCGACTTCATTTCCTCTTGGTCTCTGCACATATTATGGTAAGGCCCTCTCCAGTCACTCTCTATATAAGAACAAACAAGCCCCAATGCTTCTGAGACAGCCAGGTTGGAAGGGTTTCCTGGCAGAACCTCTGACCGACCTGCGCCCTGGGGTGGAGCCTTTGGAAGTTCTTTTGCAGCAGGGAGGAGCCCAGCCCCTCCTCTTCCTGGGTGGTACCTGGAATTCAATCTATGAGGCAGGAAGCCCATTAACAGGACTCTGGCTTTGTGGAGGGTCCATGTTTCCCTTTTTTCCCTTTTTGCCCAATAAATTCCATTTATTCTCACCCTTCAAAGCATCTGCGAGCCTAATCTATTATGGCCATGTGACAAGAACCCAGCTCTTAGCTGAACTAAGGAAAAACTCATAACACTCCCTACCTGTTTCCTAGTTTATGTTTTTCCATGGCACTTAACACTATCTGACATTACATACATTTACTCATTTACTTCCTTATAATCGTCTTCCCCCACTCAAATGCAAATTTGTTCTGGCAGAAAAATCGGTCTTTTTTGCTGACAACTTTATCCCCAACACTTAGAACTCTGCTTGGCTCAGAGTAGGCACTTGGTAAACGTTTATTGTGAGACTAAATAAATGTGTTTATTTTATTGGCTTGCACTCCCAGCTTTGGGATCAATATAAAAATAAGTAGCATATTTCTGCCTTCAAGTAGAAGAGGTTTTTTTTGTCCTGAGTATTAGTTACCATGGTTTTCTTCTTTTAAAGAAATGCCAAGAAATAATGGAGAAAAGCAAAATTTTATTTAGTTCTGCAAGGTAACCAAAGAATATTTTCTAGACTATTAATTCCCTCAAGATAAGGAACAAGTTCTATGACAGCACGTACCTCTTTTTTAAAAAAAAAAAAAAACTTTTTACCAGGTGCAGTGGCTCACGCCTGTAATCCCAGCACTTTGGGAGGCCGAAGTGGGTGGATCACCTGAGGTCGGGAGTTCAAGACCAACCTGACCAACATGGAAAAACCCCATCTCTACTAAAAATACAAAATTAGACAGGCATGGTGGCGCACGCCTGTAATCCCAGCTACTTGGGAGGCTGAGGCAGGAGAATCGCTTGAACCCAGGAGGCAGAGGTTGTGGTGAGCCAAGATCACACCATTGCACTCCAGACTGGGCAACAAGAGCGAAACTCCGTCTCAAAAAGAAAAAACTTTTTAAACATAATTTTTAAGTTTTTTTTAAAAATAAAGTACATGTATACATAAAGAGTCAAATAATTTCACAAGGTTGTTACTACAATAGCAGTCCCTTACCACCCTCACCACACCGTCTATGTAGCTTCTCAGAGGCAGCCATTTTGAACTCCTTCAACTGATTGGTATTGACCGCATTTCATTAAATCAACAATGCCTGTGATTCTACGATGCAACAAATGCTGCCAGTTAAACTATGGTACACCAAGAGTTAGGCATATCCTGATTATGGAGATGTTGAAACGTTAAAAAAAAAAAAAAGTGTGTCTCAGAATTGATGAAATGTGGTATTTTCATTTCTTTGAATAACAGACAGCTTATACTTCTTTATTATAAAGTTCGTGAGCCATAGAGAAGACATTTTAAAAATAATTATGCCTGGTAAGTGGTGTAATTGTCCCTCTCTATAGAACTAAATCAACCACAAAATATGTCACTGCTCTGAGGGTATTTTTAGGTTTCCTTTTTTAGACTATACATATACACAACTCAAATGGCCTCCTCCCACTTCTGTTAATTCTGCCTGGATAATTTCTATTTACACTACTGGTTCCAAAGTTTTCATCTCTCAAAAGAGACCTCTGTGGGCCCAGAGGGAACAGATTGAAAGACCCTAATAGGTTATATCACTTCATTTAATGGTATTTAGTGACAGCAAGGACTGAAAGCCTGAATTGGAAAGGAAACCCTTAATTCTACCCCTAATTATCATGATTAAGTAGAAGCTCTGACATTTGATTTTCTTCTTTTACTTGGAATTCTTGCTGTCTTTCAGCATCCACAGTCAGCATGCTCAGAAGGCTTTCTGTTGTAATGAGCTGAACTCTTGGCCTGACAAAAGCCATTCTCTCAGCCACACATTCTACTTGCAGCCAAAGGAATCCAGGCATGATTCCCCCCAGCACATCAGGCCATTGAAGCCCCTCCACCCCCAGCTTTTGCCCAGCATGTTTCCACTACAATGAAGCCTCTTACTTGCATATCTGCGTAGCTAACTCAATTCTTATGACCCAGCTCCAGCATCACCTTCAAAGTCTTCTTTCTTTTTGACTCCTTTTATCTGTGAGTTGCTACTTTCCCAAGCCTCCTACAGCACTTAGCTAATACCTGAATATTAGTGTTGATCACTATATTAGTCAGTTTAGGTTTTGCTACAGTAAGAATCAACACTCCAAATCTTAATTATTGTGTAAACAAAGGCCTGTTTCTATTTCAAGCGAAGCCTGCTCAAGTAAGGGTGATTCTCTGGGACACCATCCTCCACGCAGACACGGACATTCAGCCTGGTAAGCTGTAGCCTGGACCATTGGGAATGTGGGGCCCATTCATTCAGAACAGCAGTGGGGGAGAACGCTAGCCTAGAATTTATGCTGTCACTTCCATGCACAGCCCATTGGCCAGAAATAGTCACTTTGGTCATGCCTAACTGCAAGGGGAAATCTATGCCCAGGAAATAGCTTAAGATATGAGTGAGCGGCCGGGCGCAGTGGCTCACGCCTGTAATCCCAGCACTTTGGGAGGCCAAGGTGGGCGGATCATGAGGTCAGCAGATCGAGACCATCCTGGCTAACATGGTGAAACCCCATCTCTACTAAAAATACAAAAAAATTAGCCGGGCGTGGTGGCGGGCGCCTGTAGTCCCAGCTACTCGGGAGGCTGAGGCAGGAGAACGGCGTGAACCCGGGAAGCGGAGCTTACAGTGAGCCGAGATCGGGCCACTGCACTCCAGCCTGGGCAACAGAGCGAGACTCCGTCTCAAAAAAAAAAAAAAAAAAAAAGATATAAGTGAGCATTACAAATCTGACTGTAACTAATCCAGTCAAAGGCAGTGTCCCCAAAGAGAGGGTGTGAGCATCTTAATCAGTGGAATCATGGCTATTCATCTCACTGCTGCATCCCTGGTTCCAGAAACAATGCCTAGAACTGAAAACGTAGCCAGTAAATATTGCATGGATGAATTAATGGTTTAGGTTAATTGAGATCAGCTGCCTGGGACTGAGGGCGAGTCTAGCTTCTCCAAAAGTACGTGGCTGCCCAATAACAGAAAGAAATCAAGGTTTGTTGGAAAAATAAAGGAGATAAAATGGCTGCTGAGAAAGTACTGGTGTTGGCTGCAGAGGTTCAGAGACCTGTTGATTGAGTGAAGGGATGGATGGGTGGATGGGTGGATGGGGGCTGTGGGGGATGGTAGGTACATTATTTCCCTGTCCCTATTGCCACTGCTCCTGCCCTTGCAAAGATCACCATCATTATCACTTGATTATTAAAATGGCTCTACATGCATATCATCGTCTACCACCATTTTTCTCCTTCTCAATATATTATCTACATTGATGTGAGAATCCCTTCTAAAACTCAGATTGAATCATGGCATCAGCCTCTTTTAAAAAATTATTCCATAATTTAAAAAAAACCCAAGTCCTTCATATGATAGTCAAGATCCTTCACAATTTGATTAGAACGTGTCCACCTCTACCTTCCTCCACCTACATGGTCTTCCCAAACACACCCAATTAGCTTTAGCTATGCTATACAATTAAAGAGTGTATATCTCCACACTTGTGGTCCTCTGCTTAGTCTTCCCTTTTTGTTTCTATCAGCTATCTAGGTCAACTATTGCTTCCTCCCTGAAGCCTTCCTAGAACTCTTCAGACAGAATTTGTCACTCCCTTTTCTAGTTCTCCAATTATACCTGGTGTATACTTCTGAAAAAAAGAAAAAAAAAAACTTCCCTTAGGATAATCTGCTTTATATTTGTATTTAAACTATTAGAGCTGGGAAAAGGATTCGCTAGGTTTGTATATGCATCTGTTGTATTGTGGTTTTATCAGAGGCATTTGAACCAAAGCAACTCCATCTTGAATCGGGGCTGGGTAAAATGAGGCTGAATCCTGCTGGGCTGCATTCCCAGATGATTAAGGCATACTAAGTTACAGGATGAGACAGGAGGTGAGCACAAGATACAGGTCATAAAGACCTTGCTGATAAAACAGGTATCAGTAAACCTACCCAAACCTACCAAAACCAAGATGGCCAGAAGAGTGTCCTCTGGTCATCCTCACTGCTATACTCCCACCAGCGCCATGACAGTTTACAGATGCCATGGCAACATCAAGAAGTCACCCTATATGGTCTAGAAAGGAGAGGCATGAATAATCCACCCCTTGTTTAGCATTTAACAAGAAATAACCATAAAAATGGGCAACCAGCAGCCTGGGCACTGCTCTGCCTATGGAGTAGCCGTTCTTTTATTCCTTTACTTTCCTAATTAGCTTGTTTTCACTTTACTCTCTGGACTCTCCCTGAATTATTTCTTGCGTGAGATCCAAGAACCCTCTCTTGGGGTCTGGATCCAGACCACTTTCCTAAAACACTTTATTGAGACCGACAGCCATATTTGACTCTCTTGATTAGAATAATGCATTGCATATTATAAGCAGTCATTCATGCTTTCATTCAACAAATGCTGTGGAGTGCCAAATATGTGCCAGACCATGGACAAGACAATTAACATTCATAGAAATGAATTAAATCCTAAGTAGAGTTCCATTCACCCACAGCCCATTGTCATTTTCACAGAGTACATAACGCCATGTGATGATTAATTCATTAATTAAGCTGGTTTCCTAACTTAGTGTGAACTTCATTATCTTGTCCAAATGCCTATAGCACTCTTGATACACAGTCTTAGAACAAAACAGAGACCCTCACTGTGAAATACTTCCCAGATAATAGCTCATATTCATTTCTTAAGAGATTAGGTTGCCACTCTCTGAATTATATGAAACTTTTCATTGGCCCACCTGACCTTTTGGAGACACACTTGTATTGGTGACAAGATGCAGAAGTTGGGCTCCCTGCGTTTATTGCTGCTTATATCTCATTATTCAACACGAAATGTTTGTGATGTTTTTAAGATGATCCTTAATCTTTTCAATGGCCACACAAAACTGTTCTTGTGTACACTGGGGCTTCCTTTTACTTCTTTGTAAGGCACTGATAGAGAAAAATGTACGTGTTTTCAAACAGCTCCTATTTTCTTCACAGAGCAGAGGTAGGGCATCGAAATGTACGCTGCATTTCCTTTCTATGGTTTTAAGAGCGCAGAGCTAGCCCTCCACGGTAAGCCATCAATCCTATTTCAGATCCAGCCCCTGAACCTCCGTTAAAGCTAATGGAGACAATTATGTCCATAAACCAAAGAGAAAAGAAACCCCTTCATTTGTAAATTAGCCCAATTCCAGTAGATTCTCTACGTCAAGCCAGGAAAGAATAACATGAAAACATGTCAATCATGAGTCCCTCTATTTAATTGCCTGAAATAAGTGTTGATCTGGGAAGCTTACCACTGCCACTGATTCCCTCTCAGAAGAAAAAGAATAGCGAACTCTCAACAGTTCCTTGGGACACTGGTCTGCAAGCTCTCCCTATTTTCTTCCTAAATCTTTTTGGTAAATGCTAAATGACCAGTCTGGTGATTGCTTTTGGTGCCCCCATAAATCCTCGTAGACCAAGTCTCACTTTCCGGAACCCATTCCTTATGGAGATAGATTGGCTTTCTTTCCATTGTGCCCATTGTTTATTAGAATGAATGAGAGTAGACATCTCTGTAAGATGGTAAAATACTGAAAAGTACTTTTCTCCTTTCTATGAATGACTGCACCTAAGAACAACTGCATCTGAATTTGGTTCTCATTTAAGAAAGTCGTACGTTGACTACCTATGATAGGACTGAAATCTCCAAGAGCACTGGCCCAGAAAAGTATTTGGAATTTACAGTTATCTTAGGAATTTCTTCCTTTCGGGGGGCGGGGTGGGGGGGAAGACACTCAGCAAGCATCCCATTGTCATTGAGATGTGGGTACTACAGAGAAGCTTCTGACACAACAGCCAAGATTCACCTCCTACTTCTCCTTTAGGAGAAAACCTGTGTATTTCAAAAATGAAATGAGGTGCGGAGATTTATTTCCACCTACAGAAGCTGTCATCCATGCAGCATTCCCCTATGACATTCCATCTTCATCTTCTTGCAACCTTCTTTGACTATTCTCCTCTTGCACCACAGTGACTAAGAATATAACTCACAACAAGAACATCCATTCTTTTCAGTCTGGACACTTTGCCTTCACCACGGATGTGCTGCTCCTGGTTAATAATTGTGCTGTAGCTAAGGCTGCTTGGTCCTGACAGCCAGAGATCCCAGGAGATTAAGAGAGGAACAGTTGCCTTCCCTTGTTCTCATTAATTCTGTCTACATTCAAAGTCAAGCCCTTTATGCTTCAAAAAAATTATTTCAAACCCAATATTAAAGCTATAGAAAGATAATATACATGGATATTTACAAGATATTTTATGAAGATACACAATTAGGACAAAACTGAAGGAAATTAAGACTGTCAAAATGTTAATAAGGATGGTTGCAGCATTATTGATAATAATGAGAAATTATTTCTGTTGTATTCACTACTGAGTAGCCAGTGCCTGTACACTGCCTGTACACTGATTGCTTATTATAGAGCAATCATTAAATACTTGTTAAACTGATGAATGATAAATAACTTATTAGACTTTCCTAGTTTAAAACTTCAATTCCTTTTAGGTCAGAAATATAATTATCCAATGATGCTACCAGTCAGAACCAAACAATACCTGCAGGTATTGGGTAGGGTAGGGACAACTCCATGGGATACTGCAGGTATTGATGTGGGTAGTGGTTGCATGAAAATACACACACACACACACACACACACACTCACTCACTCACGTACTCATCCAGATGAACATTTATGATTAGTGCATTTTATATACTTTATTGTTTCTATGTAGCCTCAATTTTTTTAGAAAGTAGGTAACTATGGTATGATGCTTCTAATCTATGTGAAAATCTGTTTTGTTCTCCACTGAGAAGGCCCTTTCTCTACTTTTGCTTTTTGAGGATCTTTTATTCCTGGGCCTATTTGTCTGCTATTTGATTAGCATATACCTATTGGCCCTATTTTCCATTAGCTCTTTCTTAAATGGCTTATAGTCCCAGATAATTGTCTGAATTCATTTTGCTTTTCTGAAAAACAAAACCCACAAAACTTGAAACCATAAAACAAAAACCTAAAAAAAAAATACAAAAATTGTCAAACACATTTGGACACACTAGAATATGATTTTACAAAAATAATGTAAAGCTGATCACTATTCAGCATTCTTAGAATCCTAAGACTTCTAATTAAGGAAGCACCCAAAATAACATGGAAACAACCTCTACAGCTTGCAATGATTGGGGCTCTCTCACCAAACAACTTTCTACTCTACTTAGAGAGCACCTAACAACTTCAGACCACAGTCACTGGTGAATGTGCTATTATGAATGGAGACCCCCTTACAATGTGACTTTGAACTGGCCCTATAGCCCCTTTATCCAGGCTTCAATCTCCCCAAAACACAAGAGGCTGCAATTAGATCTAAGGTCACAGTCAATGCTATCTTTCTCTGTTTCAATAAAAGTTGAGTATTAGTTATATTAGCAGTACTTCTGAGGTCTTCAAGTTGATTGAATAACTAGATATTGTACCACTATTTAAAACAGCCAAAGTATGGAATCAATCCAAGTGCCCATCAAAGGATGAACAGATGAATAAAATGTCGAATACTGTTCAGCCATAAAAAAAATGAAATCCTGCCATTTGCAGCAGTATGGATGAAACTGGAGGTCATTAAGTGAAATAAGCCAAGCACAGATAGACAAATATCACATGTTCTCACTCATCAATGGGAGCTAAAAAAGTGGATTTCATCAATATACAGAGTAGATTGATGGTTACCAGAGGCCAGGAAGGGGTGGGGAAAGGAGATGATGAAGAGAAGTTGGTTAATGGGTACAAATATATCATTGGCTAGAAGAAATAAGACCTAGTGTTAGATAGATCAGTAGAGTGACTATAGTTTACAATATGCTATTATATATTTCAAAATAGCTGGAAGATAAGAATTCAAATAGTTCTAGCATAAAGAAAAGACAAATATTTAAGGTGACAGGTATCCCAGGTACACTGATTTGATCCTTACAAATTATATGAATGTATTAAATCATCACATGAAATTATATACATCTTCTATGCATCAGTTTATAAGAAAAATAACTATAATTTATTTTCTTTCACTGTCTACATAAAAATAATTTAGGTTTTATTTCCCAAGTCAATAATGCAAATGATTGTTGTCTCATGTAATAAAAGTTTAACAAATACTAGTTAGAGGCAAGGAACTTGATTCTTTGTTACAGGGCACCAAATTGAGTATACTTCATTGTCTCTCCATAAATATTAATTAATGACTTTGTAGCTATTAAAATTATTATCTTCAGTGCCCCAGAGTTAATACACTACTACTAAGTAAGCAGCTCATCTCCATTTTAGAAGTCTGGACTATCTTTAGAATTTTCCTAGAGTTTATAATCAGACCACCCTTGATGTTATAAGTATTAATATTTTGACCAAACTGGGTGAAAACCAGGAAAAGTCAAAAATAAAGGTTAAAACTCAGCTTTGTACTTGTTCTGTGAACATAAAAGGCCAGAAATGAATGAGGCATATCACATTAAGCTTCTCTGCACTTCTGTACTAATCTGCTGGCCGGATTAGTTTGGTTGTTTTAAAGGAATAATGAGCCCAAGTTATTGTCTTAACCTTGAGCTGGAATTTCTGAATATTGATTTAGTTTCACCATGAACTAAGTGGACGTGTACTGCTAAACTGAAGATATCTATTATTTCTTCGTCATCGCTATCCCTTGTTCAAGAATCTGCCTCACCCACAGCTCAGAAGGGGCAAGCCCACCTATGACAGCTGCTAGGATTGGGGAAGGTGGCACCCAACCTAGACCGGCCCATGAGATCCTCCCACACAGGAATTTGAAAGTGAGAAACAAACTGTGAATTCATCAGATGGTGTTGAATTGAAAGCAGGGCCATATAAAGTTAGGCACCACTTGGCATGTAGAAACCAAATACAAGGTAAAGTCATGGTGATCAGGAACCAGGAAGCTGGCTGAGAAAGCTGGTAACTGAGTGGGGAATATCACAGATCACAGAGGAAAGATTTAACCCAAAAAGAACGGGTTAGAGATAATGCATGCCTTATGGCATCCTGGTCACTGTGATACACTGCTATACTCCTGGCCATTGGGTTTGTGTGTGTTTTAGTACATTTAAAGTTGACACATATTATACATATTTATGGAGTATAGTGTGATATATCAATGCATATCTGCATTGCCTAGTGAATGCTACTGGGTTTTAAAAGATTACCTGTAGTCTTAATCAATCTCCACTTTGCTGTGCCATTGTAAAAGTGATAAATATGAGTATTTATAGCCTCATCCTGTCTCTCACATTCATCCACATTCACATTTACACACACTCATATAATTGGTACATACAGCCAGTACAGAATTAAAGAAGGCAGAATGATTAGACTTGATGTGTATTAGAAAAGAAAACTACTCAAGGTGGGAGCCTGCGCTGGAGAAATATACCCAGGATAGACTGGGGAGAAGTTTGAGATCTTTTGAGAGAATTAAATAAGACTAAAGGCTGTTAGGATAATGAATGAGACATTAGAAAAGAGTTTAAAAAGTTTTTACCATTTGTTTAAGTGGAACTCTTTTTTGGAACCCTTCAGGTTGTTTTGGTAAAGATTTTATTTTCCAAAGTGTTCTTAGGAAATCGTCTTGCATTTCTTTCTTAATGAGAGCCTGGCTGAGACTGGACAGAAGGTGACCCAGTGTTATTTGGGTTATGGCAAACCCCAATCTCTTTCAGACATGAGTGTTTCTCAACAGAATTCTAAAAGCATTTTTAGTGGGACAATTCTTCATTGTGCAGGACCATCCATTAGCTTGAAGTACGTTAGCATTACTAGCCCCTGGGCACTAAATGACAGAGCACTTCTCAGTCACTGTGACAACCAAATACATTCTGCACCCATTTCCAAATGCCCCCAGGGTAGGAGAATACTGCCTGTGGTGGAACACCACGGATCTAGACATTAATAAGTTGGTTTCCATTCATTGCAATGAAACAATTCCAGATGAAGACAGTGGCTCATAAATAAGCATATGAGAATCATTTAATTCTTCCCTAAAGCACTCAACTCAAATATACATGGGATCCTAGATAGCAAACATGATGCTATTTGCTTCATCATGAACAAGGATTGCAAATGCAGCATAAGATATTATCCTCCTAGTCTAACACAAAATCCTGAAACTGAAAGTGGGTAATGACAACTAACGTCAATGGGAAGATAGCAGAGTAGGCCTTTCACAAAAAAAACATGGCAGACAGCAAGAAGAAAATGGGCCTCAGTCTGGAGATGAGGTTAAGAAAGTTTGTGACCTCAGAAAGATAAAATCAGAGTAAATCCATATGCTATTGTTTAGATGTTTGTCCCATCAAAATTTGTGCAGAAATTTGATCCCTGGTCTTGGAGGTAGGGGCCTAATGGGAAGTGCTTGGGTCATGGGGGTGGATTCCTTATAAATAGATTAATGCCTTCCCTATAGGGGAGAGTCATTTCCACAAGAACTGGTTATTATAAAGAGCTTGGTGCCTCCCTCTCTCTCTCTCTCGCTTTCTCTCTCACTGTGTGATCTCTGCACACGTTGGCTCCCCTTCACCTTCCACCACAAGTGGTAACAGCCTGAGGATCTCACTAGAAGCAGACGCTGGGACCATGCTTCCTGTACAGCCTGCAGAACCAGGAGCCAGATAAACCCCTTTTCTCTATAAATTACCCAGCTGCAAGTATTTCCTTATAGCAACACAAAATGGACTAAAACAACATACCTTTGTATCAAATCCCATAATACTGAGGCTAAAAGCATGAACAGAAGTTAACAATTTGAGCACACCTTGTACTAGGCACTAGTTAGAAAATGCTACCATTCTTAGACAAATAAAGGCAAGTGCTGCTTCATAAGATGAGGTTCTTAAAAACTGTGGTTCAGCAAAAGTACATTTTAAAAATAAGATTTGTGCACTGGTTTCTCCGTCTACCCTCTACAATGTTCTTCTCCCAGATAATCACGTGAGCCACTTGCCCACCATTTTCATGGCTGTGTGAAAATATCAGCTTCTCAGTGAGGTTACCTGACCACCCAGTTTGAAACAGCAGCTTCCACTCTGAGCTCATCACTGTCTGTTTCTCTTATCTGTTCTTTTCCACAGCTCTTCTCACCATTCAATACACTGTGCATTCACTTTTTTTTTTTTTTAAATCTAGGTGGAAGGCAGTCCGTTCACTGGGATGTAATGGATTTTTTAAAGTCTAGATTGAAGGCAGTATCCCTTCATCGTGATGGAAGGAATTTAAAACTTTCTAGTTGGGAAGACAAATGAAAAGCCTCATAATGAGGTTAAAGTCAAGGATGCAAAAGAAACCTACCCCCACAACCACATAAATGGCATGATAATGTGTATGTGTTGCCTCAGACACCACAGTGACTATCTTTGTATGAAGTATAAAGCAGACCAATTCAGACAAAAATGAAAATGTACCAGAAAAAAATAATTTGGACCCTGTTGAAAATGAAATCTATTTCAAAAGCTTCAATCCTCTCTTTACTGCGATTGTCTATAAGTGACTATGAATTTAAGAAGTTGTGTTTCATTGTTAATTGCAATATTTTTCAAAGCTATTATACTCTAGGTCTGGAGACCACAGTTGATCTAGGTTTGGTGGTCTGCTACAGAGGGAGATTTCTTTTTTGAAGGGTTTTTTTTTTTTTTTGGCGGGGAGCAGGGTGGGATGAGGGCAAAAGGGGGTTAAAATAGGTGGCAAATGATAGCTTTCATCCTTAGTGAAAAGCCATGGCTTCTAGAAATGTCTACCATCTGATAGTCATTCGACAAATGTCTATTGAGCACCCATATATGCCAGGTACTGTTCTGGACCCTTGGGATACATCAACAATCAAAACAGAGAAGCAGCCTGTCCTCCTGCAGCTTCCTTTCTGGAGAAAATTCTAAAATATGACTAGGTGGTCTTCGATTAATTGGCTATTTTTCTTTAGCAGAAAATTTTGTGACAGCATTGAGGGTTAGGAAAGAGTTTTCAGGCCAGGTGCGGAGGCTCACACCTATAATCCCAGCACTTCGGGAGACGGAGGCGGGGAGATTACCTGAGGTCAGGAGTTCGAGACGAGCCTGGTCAACATGGCGAAACCCTATTTCTACTAAAAATACAAAAAAATTAGCCAGGCGTGATGGCGCATGCCTGTGATCCCAACTACTTGGGAGGCTGAGGCAGGAGAATCGCTTGAACCCAGGAAGTGGAGGTTGCAGTGAGCAGAGATTGTGCCACTGCACTCCAGCCTGGGCAACAGCGAGATTCTGTCTCAAAAAAAAAAAAAAAAAGAAATTTAAAAAAAGAAGAAAAAAGAAAAGAATTTTGAAAAATTTTCTGGTGCTCCCTTAGAAACCATCACTAAAAATTTCATCTTTGCTTCTGCTTATGGTATTGAAAGCTTTTTGTTCATATCAGAAATATATATGCAGAGTTTTCTGTGGTAAGGAATTGTGCTAAGAAGCAGGAGGGGATATAAACATATGTGAGACGTATCTGTCAACTTATCCTTTGATGGGTTCCACCCATACCACGGTTTCAAAGGAAAATACTATCATCTCTGTGTTGCAATGGCCGGGCAACATCATTCTGCCCATGGTACCTCCAGTAAATACAGAACAGAGCTGGAACTCTGCCTTTCACTCAATTAAAGCCCCTTGTGGTTCAGATGTTTACACAATGGAAACTAACAAAGAAACCAAAGGCCAAACAGAGTGGTTGGGGCAGAAGGGTCTTTTAATCCTGGGTCTGAGGACCAATGTCCTAAAGGGATAAAAGCCCACCCAATGTCACCAGAGGCAGAAATAGGATGCATGCTGCCTGTCACCCGATGATCAGAGACCATATATTATTCTCTCTGTTCAGATCCATCATTGAGGTTTTTATGAGAGAAGGCTGTCTTGAAGGAATGCTTTATCTCGGTTTGCACATACTGCAAGTCAACCAGAGTTAGAGGGAGCTGCCATGTTTGTGCTGGAAGTGATAGAGCTGGGCTGCAGGGGGGTGGAGGATGGGGGAGGTAGGAGAGCAGACGTCTATTGATTTGGTGTTTTAGCTAATCGACCTATGGTTTGGGACTCAGGATGTGGTCAAGTGTTGTTAAGGCATGTTCAGGAACAATACTTGACCACATTTTGAATTCCAAACCATATTCTACAACTTTTTCCACATATTTGGTGTAATCCTCCATTTTCTATTTTTGAGTTCGACAAAAAGGGGTCAAGAAAATATAAATGCATTTCGAGAGTTTTTTAGACCTCCAAAGGTCTTGAAGAATAATATTTTGAGGAGTTAGGTATAAATAATTCAGAAACATATGGATAGAATTTACTTCTACATATCAGAATGTAACACAAAGTAAGGAGAAATATTTGACTGTACTCTGCTTGGTAGGGTCCCAGTGTTTGAAAGAAGTGCAGCCGCATGAACCATTCTGGGCTGCTTCCTGTCCCGCTTTTGTACGCATCTCTCTCTCTCTTGCTTTCAAGCTGCATGAACATGTACTTAGACCTCAGGTATATTTTAAGGAATAACAGCTGGTAGTTTGAGGGACCCATACATCCCTCACGTACGGCCATAGATGCTATGTTCAGCAAATATGAACAAACACAGCAAAAATCTATGCTGTGCTCTCCGCCACATCGATGCTGGCTTTTCTAGCATTCCATCCAATTCCAGCTTTCTGCTTGTCTCAGAAATGGATGGGGGTCAGGGGTGTGACAGGAATAGCTTCATAACTTGAGGAACCCAGTACAAAATGAAAATGTGGGCCCCTTGTTCAATAAGTATTAAGAATGTTAGGATGGCAACAGCAGAACGTTCGAAGAAGGCTGGGGAGTTTGGCCTAGGAAGCTGGCCCTGCGTGGTGATGCCCTAAGGCATTTTTTCCCCTCTAACATTTCTTCTTTTTCTTTCTTTCTTTTCTTTCCTTCCTTCTTTCTTTCTTTCTTTCTCTTTCTTTCTTGAGATGGAGTCTCACTGTGTTGCCCAGGCTGCAGTGCAGTGGTGTGATCTCAACTCACTGCAACCTCTGCCTCCCTGGTTCAAGTGATTCTCCTGCCTCAGTGGCTGGGATTACGGGCGTCTGCCACCACCGCCTGGCTAATGTTTGTATTTTTAGTAGAAACAGGGTTTCGCCACGTTGCTTAGGCTGGTCTTGAACTCCTGACCTCAAGTGACCTTCCCACCTTGGCCTCCCAGACTACTGGGATTACAGGCATGAGGCAGCGTACCTGGCCGCCCTTCAACATTTATTTTGGCAAATAAAAACAAGATGATGGCAGAATAATAAATGTGAACACCGATTTAAAAGGTAGTATGGCCTGAGAATGTAATGGAAGGATTTGGATTTCCCAAGCACTGCTAACTAAAATCAAGAGACAGGACCAGATATCAGCAAACATTTCAAAAGGAATCACCGTATGGTGAAAAGAAATGAAGCTGTAGACGGAACCAGTTGAGTTCTAATTAGCAAAGAGGTAAGCAATTCAGAAGAGTGGTGAGGCTACAGTTCTTGAGGCTATTGTGCTATTTGTTTTTTTTAATAGAGACTCTAAGGAAAGCCATTAATGCAAAGAAAGGAATTCTATTTAAACCTGATGGTGCTGTGTTGCATTAGGTTGGTACAAAAGTAATTGCAGTTTTTGCCATTAAAAGTAATAATAATTTGGCCTGTAATCCCAGCACTTTGGGAGGCCAAGGTGGGCAGATCACCTAAGGTCAGGAGTTTCAGACCAGCCTCATGCTTGGCAATGAGCCAAGATCGTGACACTGCACTCCAGCCTGGGTGACAGGGTGAGACTCCATCTCAAAAAAAAAAAAGTAATCATAATAACACCAAGAAAGTTTTAAAATAAACATTGAATCACTTTTGGGATGTTTAATATGTGGGCAAGTCTCTGCTTTTGCAATTTTTTATTTTTTATTATTTTGAGACAGAGTCTTATTCTGTCGCCCAGGCTGGAGCACAGTGGCACTATCTCAGCTCACTGCAACCTCTGCCTCCTGGGTTCAAGTGATTCTCCTGCCTCAGCCTCCCAAGTAGCTGGGATTACAGGCATGCACCACTATGCCTGGCTAATATATATATTTTTTTTTTTTTTTTTTTTTTAGTGGAGACGGGGTTTCACCATGTTGGCCATGCTGGTCTCGAACACCTGGCCTCAAGTGATCCACGCGCCTCAGCCTCCCAAAGTGCTGAGATTACAGACATGAGCCACCACACCCAGATGCTTCTGCAATTTTTTATTTGACCACATGCTTTACTCAGTGTTGCCTAAATAGAGATCTCTACTTCTTCCCTCACAGTTGCCAGAGATGAATAAACGTGTAAAGCAACAACTCTTGCACTCTGAAGTCACCTTACAACAATGTCTTTTACGATGAGTCTTGAGAATGAGACCACCGAATCTAAATGTAGGCATTGCCCATAACATTTGTTTCTAGAAATGTTGTACATGGCCTGCTCTTATGTATTTATTTTTAAAAGAAATATTTTTTCTGCTGATAAAAATTTAAGCGATGATACAGAAGTGTGCAGAGTACAAAACTGAAATCTCTTGTTTATTTCCATCTCTTTTGTGAGAAGCCTGTTAATATCCTTTGAAATTCTTCTGCAAGCTTTGTCATATTATATTATAAAGAGCACTTTATAAGTTCAGTATTTTTTACAGTTTCTCATTCATCTTTTTTGTTTGTTTGCCTGTGGGGTCGATTAAGACTTGCTTTTAGAAAAAAACAAGGAGACGAAAACAGAGTGTGGGTCACATTCTTTACACAGAGTTCACTCTCATTTTTAAAGAAGAATTGATTCTATTTTTTAGCTGATCAGCATAAAGTGCTTTATTAAGCATAAACTTGTACCATGTACTTTATCTTATTTATTTAAGATGGATGAATCTGTTTTATGCATATATTAAAAAGTTATCAAAAAAGCAACACCCAGTGCTTCATATATTACAGAAAATAAGTGTTAATTCAATAAACAAACTAGAAATTCTTCAGTATGCCAAAGACTTGGCTTTAGATGAACTATCAATTTAATTCCATTCAGCAAACATCTGTTAAGCATCTGCTGGTGCTGCCTTTACTGAATGAGCTGCTTCCTGCAGATCGAAGGATGAGCTGGACTAGGTTCTGACCCAGGGCAAGTCTGCTCCATCTGACTTCTTATAGGTGGTAAAATGCACAAATACTACAGGCTAAACGAAGTACTACAATGAAAGAAGTCTTTCCTGGCAAAGTGGACCACGGGACTTAATAAGTCTTTCATTTCAAATCTATGTCATCTCATAAATAGCAGAGCAATGTGTGACAACACAAAGACTTTATTCCCTTCATAGACTCCACTAGGGGACACTTCCCAGAAGACTGGAAAGTATTTCAAACAACATAATCTACACTTCTCAGACTGAGTTAGCAAAGGGCATCTGAGGACACATTTATTTTCCCTGAGCTTCTTTTCTGGAGCTTTTTCAATTCCCTGCAAATTTTCAAGATTTGGTAATTGGTGGCTGATCCCAGAGCAACAGCAATGAATCAGGCGGGTGTGATAGCAAGGACCACTGGGACACTCTGTGTACACCGAAACCATCCTAAGCAAGCCAAGCTGAGGAAATTGAGGCTGTCTATGAATTCCCACTGAGCTGGGCGTGGTGGCTCACACCTGTAATTCCAGCACTTTGGGAGACCGAGGCAGGTGGATCACTTGAGGTCGGGAGTTTGAGAATTCCTGCAGAGAAAAAATTAAATTGGAAAGAATAGTTCTGTCTGAGCTGATCCTCATTTCTTTATATTTTAATAAGTTGAGGTGACATGAATGGAAGAGGCTTCCTTTCTCACCACTGAATCTATTGCATTTGAAGGTGTGCTTGCACAGCTGGAAATGTGCATGGGTGTATGTGTGCATGTGTCTATCTGTCTTCAGGAAAAGGAGATGATGACAAGTTAGGGTGAGAGAGGCGGCACCACATGGCCCTGTAGAAGCAAGGTGGAAGAGATGGGGATGTCTACAGGAAGCCAGGCTGCAAATTGCTTCGGCCCTAGGTATTACTCTTTCCTGCTCAAGCTGTCTGATGCCTCCTTCCTTTGGCCTTGCCTTTGCTGTGCCAGGGAGGGCAGCCCCAGGGCAGACACTGTGGTCTGGGGAGGATGGAGTAGAGTGAATGGAGCAGAGGGCACTTGACTCTACCCCTTCTTCCCAGGTATTCCCCCATCTTCCTCAGGCCACTGAAGCCTCCTGACCACCTAGATTTAACTGGACACATATTATCAACCTCACCCTTCCACTAGGCACCAGCCTTCCCCTGACTACCTCTAAGACACTTCCAGATACTATAGGTTGATGCAAAGGTAATTGCGACTTTTGCCATGAAAAGTAATGGCACCTTTGCACCAACCTAACAGAGAAGCCAGCTTAGGCTAGTGTCATCAAAAACGGAGGATTAGGAGATATACCTAATGTAAATGGTTAATGGGTGCAGCACACCAACATGGCACGTGTATACATATGTAACAAGCCTGCACATTGTGCACACGTACCCTAGAACTTAAAGTATAATAAGAAAATATATATATATTCTAAAACAAATAATAAATAAAACAAAAAAGGTGGAAAGGAGAATTTATTAGAAGACTACGGGTGTATCTCATGGGACAGGAATGCATTCATTCATTCACTCATTCATTCATTCACTCAAAAAAATAAGTACTGAGTAACCAGTATGTGCCGGGTAGAGAGACAGACGCTGTGGATTCATTAGTGAAAGAGATAGACATGCTCTCTGCTTCTACCTTGTTAAAGAGACAGACAGTAAAGAAATCATCATACAAATATGCATATCATTATAAATTGTGTTGCGTGCTCTAGGGAAAAGCCATAGGATATCTTAGAAAGTATAACAGGGGGACTTAACTCAGATGTAGATTGTTGTTTCCGGAAAGACTTTGCTGAGGAGTGGTAGGTGGCTTCAGGGATGAATTCTGCCAAGCAATTAAGAGAGAAATTTTACCGCCGGGTGTGGTGGTTCATGCCTGTAATCCCAGCACTTCGGGAGGCCAAGGCAGGCAGATCACTTGAGATCAGGAGTTCAAGACCACCCAGCCCAACATGGTAAAACTCTGTCTCTACTAAAAAATACAAAAATTAGCCAGGCGTGGTGGTGCAGGCCTGTAGTCCCAGGCACTCAGGAGGCTGAGGCAGGAGAACTGCTTGAATCGGGGTGGTGGAGATAGCAGTGAGAATTGCTTGAACCTGGGAGGAGGAGATTGAGATCGCACCACTGCACTCCTGCCTGGGCGACAGAGCGAGACTCCATCTCAAACAACAACAAAATGAAACAAAAAACAAACAAACAAACCAAAAAGCAGAAATTATACCAGTTCAACATACACACTTTGAGAAAATAGGAGACCAATTCTCAACTGGTTTTATGAAGTCAGCACTACCATGATACCAAAACTATGTAAAACCTTACAAGAAAAGACAAGTAGAGAGCTCATGAACATATATGGTAGGTAGAATAAATGTCCCTCTGCCCCTCAGTATGTCTGCATTCTAATTGGCGGAACCTGTAAATGTTACGTTAATCCTTATATTGCAGATGTGATTAAAGTAAGGATTTTGAGGTGGGTTATCCAGTTACAACTGATGAAACCACAGCAGTTCTTGTAAGTGGGAAGCAGGAGGTAATTAGAAGATAAGGTAATGTGATGGCAAAAGCAGAGATTAGAGGGACATGCTTTGAGGATGGAGGAAGGGGCCACAAGACTTGAAAAGTTAAAGAAATAGTTTCCCCTCTGAGCTCCAGAAGAACCAGCCTGGTCAATACCTTGACTTTATCCCACTGAAATGGCATTTGGACTTCTGACCTCCAGAACTATAAGAGAAAACAACTGTACTGTTTCAAGCCACTCAATGCACTATGGTAACTTGTTACAGGAGGAACAGAAGACCAATGCAGCATAATTGTATGAGTCTGCAACAAAATTTTAGCAAACCATGCCAAGCAATTTACAAAAAATATAATATATCATCAATAAGTGAGATAGTCCCAAGAGTTGAAGATTGGTTTAACATTTTTGAAAAAAAATCTATAATTGACCATATTAACAAGTTTAAAAAGAAAAGCCATTTGATCATCTCAAATAGATACAGAATAAGCATTTGACAAAATTTAGCACCTGTTCACGGAAAGAAAACCACAAACCTCTGCCAAATAGGAAAAGAAGGAAATTTCTTCACCTTAATAAAATATATCTACTAAAAATCTACAGCTTACATTATAACTCACTATAAAAGAAGGAATGTGTTTTAGAAATAACATGTCTATACTTACCACCTCTATTCAATATTGTACCTAGCCAGTGTAACAAAACAAGAAAAAAAAAGGAATAGACTTGGAGAAAAAGAAAGAAAGCTCTTCTTTTCACAAATGGCATGATCTAATTCTAAAAAACCATTTTTAAAAAGGCTACTAGAACAAATAAGGGAGTTTATAGCAAGGCCACAATATACAAGATCAACATAGAAAAATTCAGTGTACTTATATATAGTCGCAATAAAAAATTGAAAATTGGGAAGTGAATTATACTAAAATCTGAAACATTTTGCTGAGAAAAAAATTTAAAAAAACATAAATAAGTGGAGAGATGTATCATTTCATGGATGGAAAGACAATGTGGTTAAAATCCTAGCAGACATTTTTGGTAGAAATTTTCAAGTTGATTCTGAAAGTTACAAGGAAATGTGGAGATCTACTATAGCTAAAATAACTTTGAGAAGAAAAAAATGTTAGAGGGCTTAATATTATTTCAAAACTTACTATAAAGCTATGGTAATTAAACTTTCTGTCCACCCAAACAGAATATACATATTGATCAATAAAACAGAATAGAAATAGACCCATGCATATATGATCAATTAGTTTTCAACAAAGAAACTGAAGTCGTTCAATGGGGGAAAAAATGTTTTTTCAACAAATGGAACTCAAACAATGGGACATTCATATGAGAAAAAAGTGAATCTCAACCTCAACCTCATACCCTATTAAAAAAATAATTCAAGATGGATCATATATATACACACATATACATGTATGAGATATACTAGTATATATACATATATTATATAATATATAGGATGTCATATATTATGATATATAATATATATTTCTATGTATATAAGGCATCAGGTGTCTTATATATACATATATGATTAATACAGATTATAATATATGACATCGTATATATTATATGTCATATATTATGATATATATCTCATATATATATATCAGAGCACGGAAACATAAACCGTCAAAGGGAAATTTGATAATTTGATTTGATAAATCAAAAGATTTCATTTTGTCCTTGAAAAACATTGTTGAAAAATAAGGGCCAGGTGCAGTGGCTCATGCCTGTAATCCCAGCTCATTAGGATGCCGATGTGGGAGGATCACTTGAGGTCAGGAGTTTGAGACCAGCCTGGGCAATATGGTGAGACCATGTCTCTACAAAAACACTTTAAAAAGAAAAAATTATTCAGTTTCTGCACCAGATGACAAAAAAAGAGAGAGGGAAAAGAAAAACAGAAAAAATTATCCAAGCATGGTGGTGGATGCCTGAAGTCCTAGTTACTCAGGAGACTGAGGTGAGAGGATTTCTTGAGCTCAGGAAGCCAAGGCTGTAGTGAGCTGTGATTGCACCACTGCACTCCAGCCTGGGTGACAGAGCAAAACCCTGTCTCTAAAATAAATAAAAATAGGCAAGTCATATATTTTGAGAAAATATTTACAAAACATATATCTGATTAAAGATTTTTAGCAGAATATATATGAACATTTATAATTTATTAAGAAAAAAGAAAAGCAACTGGTAAAAACCCAAATGGCCAAAGATGTAAACAAACACCTTACAACCGTAAGTATGGCCAACACAGGCTATGAAAAAATATTCAACATTAGCAGCCATCAAGGAAACGCAAATTAAAACTGTAAAAAGATATGACACACCACTAGAATCAAAAAAATTACAAAGATTGAAAATACTTCCATTGGTGAGGGTGAAGAGAAACTGGAATCCTCATTCTTTGCTATACATTATATAACTGCTTTGTAAAACATGTTGATGATTTTAAATAAAGTTAAATCTATTCTTATTTTACTACTAGAAATTCCCCTCGTTCTAGTAGCCTTTTTTAAAATGATTTTTTAGAATTAGATCATGCCATTTGTGAAAAGAAGAGCTTTCTTTCTTCTCCCCCAAGTCTATTCCTTTTTTTTTTTTTCTTGTTTTGTTACACTGGCTAGGTACTATATTGATTAGAGGAGGTAAGAATAGACATTCTTATGTTATTTTAAAACACATTCCTTCTTTTATAATGAACTATAAGTGAATGGATTTTTATTATATGTAAATCATGGCTCAATAAAACTGATTTTATATGTATAAATATTTGTATGTACGTGTGTGTATGTAAAGAACACATACCAAATAAAGCAAAAGAATACACATTAGATACTTTAGGAAGATTGCCTATTGGAAGCAGAGGAAAATTGTGTTGGGAAATGGAAATAAAAGGAAGAAGGAATAAAGGAAGGTTAGAAGAGAGAAGATAACTGAGGTGCTTGCATGAGACAAAAATAATCAGCGCCATTAACTGAGTTCCATGATGATTAACTTCACCCTCTGCACCTGGGTGTGAAGGGGAAAAAAATCTTTAATATAAAAGCAAGCCCAGACATAATATTGCAGACACCAGGAGAGAATGGACTATTCAAAAACTGATGATGAAACACCTG
Source organism: Homo sapiens (assembly GCF_000001405.40). Taxonomy (NCBI): domain Eukaryota; kingdom Metazoa; phylum Chordata; class Mammalia; order Primates; family Hominidae; genus Homo; species Homo sapiens. The sequence continues at coordinate 14,445,305 of NC_000010.11, forward strand.
TTATTCATCCGAGGAATAACATTTGACTTATACTTCACAATATACACAAAAATTGATTCCCAGTGGAATTAAGAATTAGCTGAAAAAAGCAAAATTTTAGAATTTTTATATGCCAGTATCTTCATAGCTTGGGGTGAGAAAGGCATTCTGGCACAAAAATGCATGAAGAATGAGCTATAAAGTAAACACTGAGGATTTCAGCATTATAACTAAGAACTTTCTTTCACTAAACAATCTAAAGATGTTAAAAACCAAGCCCCAAACCAGAAGACATGTAACATATATACCAGAAAAAGATGAGCACCCAGCATATTAAGAAAGTGATAACTAATAGAAAAATGGACAAAAAAAGATGAGAAGACATTTTCCTCGAAATGAAATCACAAGTGGGGAATAGCTGATGACAAAAGATATTCAGTTTCAATCGTGGGGCACTAAATGCTAACACCACAACATGAGAGAGACAAAAAATTTTTAAGTTAAAAAGATACTAAGTGTTGGTGAGGTTGTGGCACAAGGGGAGCTCTTACACACTCAGTTGAGAGCATAAAGTGTTACAACCATTTTGGAAAGTAATTTGACATGATCTAGTTAAGTCATAGATGCACATCTCCGTGACTCTGCAGTTCCGCTCCCAGGGAACACCCTCAAAAAAATCTTGCACTAGAGCACCAGGGAGCATCCTCAAGAATGTTCATGACCACATTATTTATAATGCCAAAAAAAAAAAAAAAAAAAGACACCAGTAAGTCTATAGACTATTGCAGAACAATTAAAAGTCACTAATTACAATTACATACACTAATAGATTTTATTAAGCATACATTTCTTAAACATGAATTTTTTTCTTTTATGTATGTATTTATTTATTTATTTATTTTTGAGATGGAGTCTTGCTCTGTCACACAGCCTGGAGTGCAGTGGTGCAATCTTGGCTCACTGCAACCTCTACCTCCTGGGTTCAAGCAATTCTCCTGCCTCAGCCTCTCAAGTAGCTGGGACTACAGGTGTGTGCCACCACACCTGGCTAATTTTTTTTGTATTTTTAGTTGAGACGGGGTTTCACCATGTTGGCCAGGATGGTCTCCATCTCTTGACCTCGTGATCCACCTGCCTCAGCCTCCCAAACTGCTGGGATTACAGGCGTGACCCACTGCACCCAGCCAAAACATGAAATTTTTTTTAAAAGTCACAGAATAAAAGCAGTATACTATTAATATAAGCATCAAAAATAAACAAAAATTAAACTACCTAAGGATTTATACTTATACTATTAAAATAAGCATAAAAAATACACAAAAACTAAACTATCTAAGAATATATACTTATGTACTAAAACTATAATAAAAAGCAAGGGAATGATAAGCATAAAAATTAGAATATTGTTTATCTCTGGGGATAAAGGAAGAGAATATGAACATAAAGTACTAGCAATATCCTTAAACGGAATAGTAAGTATATGGCTGTCAATCATTCTTCACACCTTAAATATAAATATATAATATAAATCTTTTTTACATACAAATTAGGTCATAATCATTTTTAAATTTAGAAAGAAAAATACAAAAAATGAAGAAATGAATAGCCAGGGAATTTAGGTACATGCATCAACAATTTTTACTTCTGTGAAAAATATACCAGAAAATGTTGTGTTATAAAGTGATAGGAGGCTTGGGGGCTTTTTCTGTGCACCACTTTTAATTTCTCATTGTATCAACCTTTGCTTTAGGGCTCCTGGCTGCAGTCAAGAAGAAAGCTCAGTATTTCCCCTTGTTGACATTTTCTTTTAATCAAAGTATATCTTTTACGTCTTCTTACAAGAGTGGACACTGTTTGGGCACCGCTTTGGGTTAGAAAGGCAATTTATTTCTCAGTGGTAAACAAATTTGTCAGGCAATCTGGCAGCACAAAATGTCAAAGTGCCCATGTGGAAAGGAAGAGGGAGAGAGGAGGCTGCTGCAATATTTATTCCATGATGCCGTTTAATTATTGATATGTGGGAGGCCCAAATGTACACGGGCTTTTTAAAGATAATATGGCTGTGCTAGAGACAAACGTGTTCTGGGAGCTAGGCTATTACTACGCAGAAATCAGCCATTTAGAAGCGCTTTGCTTCTTTCTTCCAAAAACTAAACACTGTTTTGTCCATTGTTACTGTAACTGTGAGAAAGAAGAAATGAGTATATAATAACTCATTGTTTTTCAAATTATTCTGAATATATAAATAGATACCTAGGCAAGCTGTTAATCATTGTTACCCTTCTTCCCCAGATAAAATACGTGAGGCAGTAATAAGGAATTGATTTGCCACAGGTTAGACTTTGAACCGGGGTTAGAAAATCACATTCACCGCCTGCCTAATCAGAGGCTGATTCAGTAGGACAGTGGGTTTTTCATTGTTTTAGCCATCAAACTCTTTGCATAATAAAGTCTCACAAATTGTTAACTAATAAAATGATTAGAAGTTGAGTAACTCTGGCCTGAACATGAGGATCTGGGGACAGTCAGCTCAGTCCCTTGCCTGGCAAGTGGGGACAGGTGGCCACATCTAAAGCCCTGGCAGCCCAAAAACCACTCCTGACCTTGAAGCTGCTGAAGGTCAGAGGGAGGGAGCCAGGAGCTTTCCAAGTAATCGGTCTGGACCCCAAATGGTACGGTCTTTTGTTGGCCCCCAACATGAAGTCACTTTCTCCAAGGCCAGTTGGCAATGCCCAGGTGGCTCAGTCAGGGGGAGTCAAGGGTCCCCAGCAGCTAGAACGGCTCCTGCCACCCAGTCGGCACCCAGGGACCATCTGTCGTGAATAAGCAAATGAACAAGGGCATGCACACTGAAGGAGCAATGTTGGCTGACTCCATCACCCATTATGGCATCCGAGCCCGAGGCCCTCTTCTGCCAGTCTGTCCTGTTACTGCTGAAAGAAGGGACATCAGAACTCGATGCCCTACCGGACTCTCTCACACTGTGGTATTGAAGCAGGTGTCCTCTCATTTGTCCCCACCGTGGTCTGCTGCTGCAGGCGACACCTTCAGGGAGGTCCAAGTCCACCATAGCAGCAGGGCCTGGCTGGGCAAGCCCCTGCCCACAGCTGTCCTCAACAGGTCCCCAGTCCCTGTGCTTGGCCCATGGTGCCATGTTGCAGGTGCTCCTGCAGGGCCTTCTCTGACACCCACCCTCCCTGCTCTTCCCCGTGAGGACACTGCAGGTGCTCGTTGTCTTGTATCACCATTTGTCACCCACTTTCTTCTGTGCATTTGGCTTTCAGCAACAGGTCCTAGAAGCAAGAGAGGGAAGGGGATCAGGGAGGCCTGGGGTTCCCTACTGGGTTTCACGTTCTCTACAAAGGAAATAGGATGTGAGCTGAGCACAGGGTGGGGACGTATAACAGAAGCTGGCTTTAAAGCCAGGAACAGTTAGCTACAAAGAAATCCAGTCGCAGCCAAGGCGGGAGAAGGGAAGGACAGTGAGAGAAAGCAGCACCGGCAAGGAAGGAGGAGAGGGAGGGAGGAGAGGGAGACAGGAAGAAAGGAGAGGGACGATCAGCTGGAGGAGAGGGGCAGGAAGGGCAGGGGAGGTGGCTCTCTCCTTTTGATGGCTGAGAGCCATCTGGGTGGTGGTGCAAATGCTGGGATGTGAAAGGATCATGACACCAGCTTTTAACTCAGTCCCAGCTGTGGGAGCTGCCTCACTCAGGAAGTCCATGTTTCTCTTCTGCCTTTAAACTCTCCACATTTGCTGGTTACCTTCCCCTTCCACCCTAACATGCCACCTCCAACATGCACATACATGTGCATATACATAAAACCACACACACATACACACGTGCACACAATAGACACATGCACGCATATACCCATGTGGGCACATATACAACCATATATATACAGAACCACCCATACACACGTGCACACAATAGACACCTGCACACACATACACATGTGGGCACACATGCAACCATGTACACAACCACACATACGTTCACACAATATACACATACATGCACATGTGGGCACCCATACAACCATGTACACACACAGCCACACGTACACACGTGCAAACAATAGACACATGCACATTCATACACATGTGGGCACACATACAACCACATACACAACCACACATACACAGACAATATACACATGCACATACATGTGTGTACACATACAATTACAACCACACACATGTGCACACAATACACATGTACATGCATGCACACAAACACCTACACATGTGCACACACATAAACACACACATAGTTGCATACAACATTCTCGTGTACATGCATGCATGCATACACATGCATACACACATGTGCACACAACCATGTGCACACTCACACATGTGCACACACAATATACACATATACATGCATAAGCACACACATAAACACACACATACATACACACATACACTTGTATACAATATACACATGTACATGCATGCACATGCAAATACACATATGTACACACAACACATGCACACACAGGTAAAACATGTGAATGCATGTTCATGCACAGATACACATAAACACACACATGCACAGTACACACACATGCAGACATACACGAATACACACACATATACATCCACATATACATATGCACAAATACATACATACACACACACCATGACATTTAACGATCAAATGGTCACACTTCATTCCCGTAAAGGAAGAGAAAAGAAAGTCGAATTCAGAGGTGTTTCTGGATATGGCATTCTGACCACGTGAACAGAAATGGGTCCCTCTGATTCAGCTGAGGCCTCCCTGGAAGAGCTGAGTGGAAATTCTTCAGAAAGGAATGAGACTTTCCACTCTCCAGCAAGCAGAGCCACTCTCCTGCCTGGCAGTATGGTCAGCGCTTCTCCCTCAGCCAGGGCTGGCCCTGCCCACCATGCAGAAGGATCACAGAGGTCCTCAGGTCCTGCTGGCACTGTCAGGGTCACAAGTCAAGGGCCTGACAAACTCTTTTCCTTCCATGCCTTTCTAGGCTGACAGAGGGCAGCTGGCAGGGCCCCAGGCCAGCTTGGCATTTTAAAGTACAGTCTACTTTTGGTTATCAGCAGTACTTACGTTCTACAAAGTCACTGCAACTGCTGAATTAGTGAAGAATGAATCACTGCTTCTAGGCCAGGCATGCAGATGCCGCATGTTTACCACTTGAAATTCTAAAGGAAACTGATGCCAGGAGATGCTGCCCGAGGCCTCACAGGGAGTTGGTGGCTCTGCTGGGACAAACACAAGGCCCCTCAGCCTTGTGTACTTCTACTCTGCTCAGGTACTTCTACTCTGCTGAGCTACTTTCTGTGTCACGTGGTGAGAGGAAAGTGAACTTCAATCAAGGCACTGAGTTCCCCTGTCTGGGCTCTGCCGCATCCTCTGCTGGGTGACCTTGACAAAGCCCTTGCTTTGTAAATCACTCATCTATTAAAGGTCAAATCTTCAGGCTGGGGCCTCCTGGGAAAGATGGCCACAGTGACTTCAGAATCAGCGGAAGTCGTCCCGCCACTATGTTTCCCAATGAGCTGGAGAGGTAACCTGAAGAGGAGGCAACCGTGTGCCCAGGACTTTCTAAACTACTCCCAGTATGAATGAAGGTCCATGTCTAGAGTGCCTCCCTGTTTTTGCCTCCTTCACAATAGAAATGCTCTTTGGATATACATGGCCAACAAGTATATGAAAAAAACGCTCAACATCACTGATCATTAGAGAAATACAAACCAAAACCACAATAAGACACTGTCTGACACCAGTCAGAATGGCAATTATGAAAAAGTCAAAAAATAACAGATGTTGGAAAGGTTGTGGAGAAAGCACAGTCTCTTCAAAAAATGATGCTGGGAAAACTGGATATTCACATACAGAAGAATGAAACTAAATCCCTACCTCTCAACATATACAAGCAACAAATCAAAATGGACTAATGACTTAAATGCAAGCACAAAAACTATAAGATTACTACAAGAAAACAGAAGAAAAAGCTTTTTGACTTCAGCCTTGGCAATAATTTTTTTGGATATGGCACCAAAAACACGGGCAACAAAAGCACAAATAGAGAACTGAGGCTACATCAAATGAGAACACTTCTGCACAGCAAAGGAAACCATCAACAGAGTGAAAAGGCAACCTACAGAATGGGAGAGAATATTTGCAAACCACGTATCTGATAAGGGGTTGATATGGTTTGGCTGTGTCCCCATCAAAATCCTCACTTGAATTGTATCTCCCAAAATTCCCACATGTTGTGAGAGGGACCCAAGGGGGAGGTAAATGAATCATAGAGGCCGGCCTTTCCTGTGCTATTCTCATGATAGTGGATACGTCTCATGAGATCTGATGGGTTTATCAGGGGTTTCTGCTTTTGCCTCCTCTCCTCCTCTTTCTGTCTTGCCACCACCATGTAAGAAGTGCCTTCTGCCTTCGGCCGTGATTCTGACGCCTCCCCAGCCATGTGGAACTGTAAGTCCAATTAAACCTCTTTTTCTTCCCAGTCTCAGGTATGTCTTTATCAGCAGTGTGAAAACAGATTAATATAGGGGTTAATATTTAAAATATAAGGCTCCCTGGAAGAGCTGCATGGAAATTCTTACACAACTCAATTGAAAAAATTCTCATACAACTCAAATTCTCATACAACTCAATGGCAAGAAAAAAAAAAAAATCCCACAAATAGCCAAATTAAAAAAATGAACGAAGTTCCTCTAAAAACTAAAAAAAGAGTTACCATATGATCCAGCAATCCCACTATGGAGTATATACCCAAAAGAAAGGAAATCAATATATAAAAGAGATCTCTGCACTCCTGTGTTTGTTGAAGCTCTATTGACAATCGCCAAGATTTGGAAGCAACCATTATTGATTCATCTAGTAACAGATGAATAAATAAAGAAACTGTGGGTCCTTATACACAATGGAGTACTATTCAACCATAAAAAAGAATGAGATTCAGTCATTTGCAACGACATGAATGGAACCAGAGGTCATGATGTTAAGTGAAGCAGGCCAGGCACAGAAAGACAAACATCGCACGTTCTCACTTATTTGTGGAATTTAAAAATAAAAACAATTGAACACATGGAGATAGAGAGTACAAGGATGGTTACCATGGGCTGGGAAGGGTAATGGGGATGGGGGAGGTGGGGATGCTTAATGGGTACAAAAAAAAAATAGAATCAATAAGACCTAGTATTTGACAGCACAACAGGGTGACTATAGTCAATAATAAGTTAATTGTACATTTTATTAAAATAACTAAAAGAGTGTAATTGGATTATCTGTAATAAACAAAGGACAAATGCTTGAGGGAAGGAACACCCACCCTCCATGACATGATTATTATGCATTGCATGCCTGTATCAAAACATCTCACACACCTCATAAATATATACACCTACTATGCACCCAAAAAAATTAAAGATTAGAAATTTTTTTAAAAGCCCATCAATGATAGACTGGATAAAGAAAATGTGACATATATATACCATGGAATACTATGCAGCCATAAAAAATAATGAGTTCATGTCCTTTGCAAGGACATGGATGTAGCTGGAAACCATCATTCTCAGCAAACTAACACAGGAACAGAAAACCAAACACCACGTGTTCTCACTCATAAGTGGGAGTTGAACAATGAGAACACACGGACACAGGGAGGGGGACAACACACACCGGAGTTGGGGGCAAGGCAAGGGAGAGCATTAGGACAAATACCTAATGCATGTGGGGCTTAAAACCTAGATGACAGGTTGATAGGTGCAGCAAACCACTATGGCACATGTATACCTATGTAACAAACCTGCATATTCTGCACATGTATCCCAGAACTTAAAGTAAAATAAAATTTAAAAAAAAAGAAGAAAAGTGAAAAAAAAAATGAGTAAAGGACCAGACATTTCTGAAAAGGAGGCAAACGGCCGAGAGAGTAGCTTCATTTTGGCAAGGTCTTCTTCCTTCTCACAGATAACAGATTACCTCTTCTGTTTCGGAGGTGCAGCTGGAAGAGAAGTAAGGACGTCCTTCTTTCGTGAGCTGGGATCCAGTGACTGTTCAGGGAAATGGGTGGGTGGCAGATAGGCCCCACTGCAGAGCACAGAGTGGCCAACGTGCCCCAGTCCCACAAGGAGAGAGCAGACTGCAGCCATTAGCTGGCCTGGGCCTGGGGGCATGATCGTGACAAATCGTCCCACTAGATCCACTCAAAAACTACTTCCTTAAGTTTCCAACCCACAGGTGTTTGAAAGATTCCTTGTCTCACACCTGCAGCCTGACCCCGTGCCTGGCATATCATGGGCAGGTGACAAGCATTTGTTAAATAAATGTAATAAAGAAAAGATAGGATTTCTGTTACCAGTTCTCCTGAGAAGCAGTAGCCCTGAGGAATGTATGGTCCTTAGCTCCAAACTGACTCCCAAAGCAGAGTGAATGTATCCAAGGACAAAGTCACAGTTGATTTGAAAACTCCCTTTCTGGGTCTGAAATTCCACCCCTCCCTACTTCGGATTCTGTAAGTGTCTCAGACCGATAAGCAGCAGCTGGGGAGAGGCGAAACCTGGAAGCCGTAACCCACCTGTGCCTGGAAAGTAAGCTACCCAAAAGACACTTGCTTTTAAAATTACATTTGAATCCTCCTTGCATAGTTAATTGGAGCCAATTATTTCTCTGTCCAGAAGACTGAATGCATTCTCTGAAACCCTTCGGAGGAAAAGTATTCATGTCATGCCCTTTCGTTTCCAACAAAAGATAATTTGCACATGCTCTTTCCACAGGAGCGTGTCATTTCAACTAAAATCAGCTTCCTTTAAAAAAATCAGAAAAGGAAAATGAAAGGAAAAAAATTAATGAGATATTCAGAAAAAAAAAAAAACCTCATCACCCAGAAAATTTACCAATCCATGTCAAAATGACCATATCCATGGGAACTCTGCACAGAGGATCATTACTGTACTCCCCTCGCCCATCACTCTTACATCTTAGAAGACTTCATAAAAATCACTCATCAGACGCTCGTAGTAATCACCACGGGCTGAGTTTACATCCACATTTGAGTCTCAGATGGGACACAGTCCTGTAAGCCTACAGCGGCATGTTGGTTTATTTATGGCGCCGGGCTTCTTAATGGAATGGATTATTTCCTTGGCGTGATTATGATCAGAGGCCTCTGGCACCGCATTTATTCGGTCCACACAGCCTGACTATGAAAGAGAATCTCCTAGAGACTACGTTTCCTCCCTACTTCAATATCCGAATTGTTAAAAGAAAATTGCTGACTTTATGGGTGTAAAGACTTGGCCTAAGTGAAAAATGAATATGGGATATCAAAAGTCAGCTTTCATGAAACTGTAACACGAAAGCAAAATGACATCCTTTCTCCTTGCTGCAGAAAGCGAAGAGTAAGAACCGGCACATCAGTATCCTCATAGCAAGAAGTAATGCTAATGCCGCCACCGACATGGTGAGACGGATTTGCCCCCTTCAAAGCCTTCCGCAGCTCCACTTCCAACACCTGGCCCAAGCCGCCATCTCTCTCACCTGGGCTGCTACAGAGGCTGTTCAAGAACCTCCCCTCCCCTGCAGGCCAGAGCTAGTAAGGTGCTCACCTCACAGGCAAAATATGAAAGGTTGCAAAACCACTCAGCAATCGACATAAATAATATTTTAATGCAATAGTTTTTTTTAAAATCTAAGTTAGCACAAATATATCCGTGATAAACAAAACAAAAATTTTACATAAAGACAGGACACAACAGTGCCATGCCAAGTTACGATGTTTGCAGAGGCTAAAGGAAAACTGTGCACGTCTGTTTACAGGCTTTTTTCCTTTTTTTTTTTTTTTTTTTTTTTTTTTGAGACAGACCCTCGCTCTGTCCCCCGGGCTGGAGTGCAGTGGCATGATCTCAGCTCATTGCAAACTCCACCTCCCAGGATCAAGCGATTCTCCCACCTCAGCCTCCCAAGAAGCTGGGATTACAGGCTTGCGCCACCAGGCCTGGCTAATTTTTTTATTTTTAGTGGAGACGGGGTTTCGCCATGTTGGCCAGTCTGGTTTTGAACTCCTGGCCTCAGGTAATTCACTTGCTTTGGCCTCCCAAAGTGCTGGATTACAGGTGTGAGTCACTGTGCCCAGCCTATATACGGGCTTTTAACATATAATTTAAACATGTTTTTCATAGCATAAAAATAATTCAAAATATTGAAACAATTGAACAAGGTATTAAAAATCACAATGTTATTTTAAGTGTAAATATTTTATTTATACCCCCAAAAGAATTTGCTATAATTTTACTTTCCTGGATATAATGAAAGCAAACACATTAACAACATATTCAAAATCTACTTCTTTGCTTATCTTCTTTTTAATTGAAAGTTGTAAGTTGTAACACAGAATACAAAGTAATTGAAAGTGTGTTTGATGGATGTTAATTCTGAGAAGAGAAATGGATACGTTTTCTGAGTATTTTGATGTAAAATAATTACATGAGTTTTAATACACCTACCTTCCCATTTCCCCAAATTTTTCAGTTACTTTAATGTTCTAAAAAAATTGACCATTAAAAATATATAAAAACAAGTATAACAGGGCACCCATCTTCCTTCGTGTGTCAGGCCTCAGTGTGGCTCAGTACGGCACTGTCAGATCTTGTTTTTATTTAAAATTTTGATATTTGGCTCATCGGGAATTTTTTATTGCATTAATCTTATTTCTAAAATTTTACATTAAAGTATTATCAATTTTGATGACCCAGCTTTTTGTGTTGCCTTGAGTTTTTCAGCTGCTTCATCCTGATTCTGGCCTTCCTCCCACTCTGACTCTACTCGCCAAAGAGCAGAAAGATGGGTTCTCTACGGATTAAATAAGCTCACAGCACTCCTGCACTTAAAACCCTCCAGGGGTGTCCTGTGAACTTGGGATGCAATCCAGACTTAGGGTCCTGACAAGTAAGTCCTGTGTGAGCCAGCTCCTGGCTCTCTCTCCAACCCCATTTCTTCTCTCTCACTGTAGTCCAGACACACAACTTCAAGTTCTCTGCCTCCACTCCCAGGGGACTTCTCCCTCTGTCCCATGGCTGGCTCCTTCTCATCCTTTTAATCCCCCTATAAACATCCCCTTCCACAGAGACCTCCTGCACCCACCTTGTCTATAGTTAAGACCCTGTGATTGAGAGAGGAGACCACTCCTCATATTGTCTTATACTTAATTTCTTGTTTGCTGAAAAGGTAGAAGTTAAAAGAATAGGCAGAAGTGAAATTCACAGTCAGACAGCCCAGCACCACATTTCAGACCTGGTCATTAAAAGTCAACCCCTGCCCTCACCGCTTGTGGTATCTATAGATTCTAGACACTGCATGAGGAAGCATTGTGAAATTCTCTGTTCTTTTCTGTTTCGTTCTGATTACTGGTACATGCAGCCCCCAGTCACGTACCCCTCGCTTGCTCAATCGACCATGACCCCCACTTCATGCAGCCCCTTTAAACTTGTGAGCCCTTAAAAGGGACAGGAATTACTTATTCAAGAAGCTTGGTTTCTAGGACATGAATCTGCCGATGCTCCCAGGTGAATAAAGCTCTTTCCTTCCTCAATCCAGTGTCTGAAGGATTTTGTCTATGACTCCTCCTGCTGCATGATGATTATTAACTTTATACATCAACCTGGTTAGGCTGTGGCACCCAGGTTTCAGTCACATACCAGTCAAGATGTTGCTATGAAGGTGTTTTTAGATATGAAGAATACAATCAGTGAACCTTGAGTAAAGCAGAAAAATCACCCTCTAAATGTGGGTGGGCCTCATCCAATCAGTTGAAGACCTTCTAAAAAGTCTGAGTTTTCCAGAAAAAGAAGAAATTCTGCCACGAGACTGTAGCATCCAATCCTGCCTGAGTTTCTGCTGGTCTGCCCGGCAGATTTTGGACTTGCCAGCTTCCAGAGCCATATAACCTCATTCCTTAAAATAAGTCACTCTCTCTTCCTCTCCCACCTCTCCCTCTTTATTTTAACCTTCTTTGGTCCTTCACAGAACCTAAAAGTAATGCCATTAAATGTAATGGCAAAAACTACAATTACTTTTGCACCAACCTAATACATAGGATGTAATTAAGGTATTCAATGGTTTTAGCTGGGGGGTGTGGGTTAGTTTCATGGCTATTTTAATGTTCTATATCCCCCTGCTAGACTGTCAGCCCTCTGAGGACAGGAACTGTGTTTGTCCTGTCCATCTCTGAACCCCAGCTCCTGGCACAGAGCCTGGCTCAGAAGCAGGGAAAATGCTGACCTCTGAAGCAACCCAGGTAACAGTGCCACAGCCACAGGCCTGGGCTCTGGGGACAGGTAAGAAAGGAAGCAGTGGGGCTCCAGGCACCTTGGCAAAAAAGGTTGTTCAGGCACAGAGCTCAAGGTGGAGACAGTCTCCAGAATGCAGAGAATAAAAGATAGGCAGCATTTGGACAAGAAACTATAGTCACCAGGATGAACATGGCATCACTAGCTGCTGTTCCTCAGAAAGTTACAGCTACCCAACTATTGAGCTAATCCTCTAACTTGTCTCCCTGCTGCTGTCTTTCCCTGGCTAGTATCTTCTCCAGCCAGCAGTCACACAGAGCCCATTAAAACACTATTAGGTCCCAGCATTCCCTTGCCCTGACACCCTCCAATGGTGTTTCCATCTGGAGCAGTAAGACTCAAATTCCTTACAACGTCCCTCAAGGCACCACACTCTACTATCTGTGATATGGTTTGATTGTGTCCCCACCCAAATCTCATCTTGAATTGTAGCTCCCACAATTCCCACATGTGGTGGGAGGGTCCCCGTGGGAGGCAATGAATCACAGGGGTGGATATTTCCTGTGTTGTTCTCATGATAGTGAATAAGTCTCATGAGATCTGATGGTTTTATATGCGGGGGGTTCCCTGCACAAGCTCTCTCTCTTTGCCTGCCGCCATCCATGTAAGATGTGACTTGCTCCTCCTTGCCTCCCACCAGGATTGTGAGGCCTCCCCAGCCATATGGGACTGTAAGTCCATTAAACCTCTTTTTCTTCCCTGTATTGGGTATGTCTTAATTGGCAGCATGAAAATGGACTAATACCATCTGTCTCCCTTAAGCTTTTCCTCTCCCTCCCCTCATCTTGCTCCAGGCCCACCAGCTACCCTTCAGGACCTCTCCAAGCATGCCCCTGACTCAGGCCTCACCTGGAACACTCTCCCTGCTGATACACCTGTACTGCCTTCCTCACTTCCACCCAGTCTTTGTTCACATGTGGCTGTATCAGAGAGCTCTTCCCTAACCACCCGTCTAAAATGCCAATTCGCCATTGCTCCCTCTCGCCATAAGTCTACCATGTATTTAAAGAGCATTGACCACCTTCCTTCACATGCATTTTTTTAGCCAGTCTCTCCTACTTAAAGCTAAATTCCATGAAGCAGGGAGTGTTTTGCCCACTTCTGCATCTCCAACAGGTAGCACTGTGCCGGACACATTGTAGGTGCTCCGTGGATGTTTATTGAATGAAGAAAGGAAAAATTGGTCCCAGTACCTGGTGTGAGGCTGTGCCTGACTTCCAGGCAGATAGTGGAAGCTGGGGAGTAGATAGAAGATGACATTGGCAGCATACCTGTCCTGGGAACAGATTACACTTGAGTCAACTAACAATTAGAGAACAACATGCAAACCGCCAAGACATGGAAGCAGTACTGAGGTCCTGGGCCTGGATGTGGAGGAACAGGCACTGGGGCAGTGTTGGAAAAGCTCCCCAGTGGTCTCTACTTCCATCACCATGTCATTAAGGCTGGCTCCACTCTGCAGTGTACCCACACCGAAAACTACCCTCCAATCCGGCACACAGGCAAGCAAGCACTCGCCAATCCACAGAGAGCAAAGTGTGGTCCGGAGCAATGTAACCCTCCAAACCTCCTCACACTGCACTTCCCCAGGCATGGCTAAGCCTCTGCATCCATGCTCTATACTCTCAGCTTTCACTTGGTCATTTCTAGCTGAATATATATCATCTTTTATAAAAAGAAAAAATGCAATTGCACTTCTTTTTTGAGACAGGTTCTCGTTCTGTTGCCCAGGCTGGAGTGCAGTGGTACTATTATAGCTCACTATATTCTTGAACTCCTGGGCTCAGGCAATCCTCCTGTCTCAGTCTCCTGAGTAGCTGAGACTACAGGTGCACACCACTATATTAGGCTAATTTTTTATTTTTATTTTTGTAGAGATGGGGCCTCCCTGTGTTTCCTAGGCTGGTTTCAAACTTCTGGCCTCAAGTGATCCTCCTTCCTCAGTCTCCCAAAGCACTGGGATTACAGGCCTGAGCCACTGCATCCAGCCCCACTGTAACTTTCATTTTCTTCCTTTCATTTCCATTGACATTTTTGTCAACCTGGTATTTTATCAAACACAAGTGAAAAAAAGAAGTCAGGCTGTCTAGCCTAAATTCAAATACAGTTCTGCCCTCTAGGGCACTCACATTTGTGAATTCATGGCTAAGATATCACCAGTGTGGTTTTCTGGGACATGCCCTGTGCTGCCCCCGGGAACAAAAAGCAACAATGAAACTTGAGCTCCCATGGTTCCTTCCTGGAGCACGTGCTTCCTTTCTCCATCAATGTGAAGGTCATACTTGGCTGGTGTACATGGAGGAAAATAAAGCAGTGGTATTTTAAGGATCTGAAGCAAATCAGAACTGAGATCAGCCAGGATTGTAACTAGCTTTGATCCTGGAAGTGGTGGTTTGGACTTCACCCTTTCTGCTTTGTGTTATCCTAGGTTGTTACCTGGTATTCTTTCCTTAATAAATATGAGAACAGAGAAGGACACAGCCAGAAATTTTCTCCACCACTTAAAGCAGATCTGGCAAAGATAGATGCATCAAGATACTGCCATCGAGAATGGCATGGCACTGGGTTTGATTTTAAGGCAGAAAATAAATAAAAGTTGAAGGCCGGGCATGGTGGCTTACACCTGTAATCCCAGTACTTTGGGAGGCTGAGGCAGATGGATAACCTCAGATCAGGAGTTTGAGACCAGCCTGGCCAACATGCCAAAACCCCATCTCTACTAAAAATACAAAAATGAGCCAGGTGTGGTGCTGGGCACCTGTAATCTCAGCTACTCAGGAAGCCGAGGCAGGAGAATGATTGAACCCAGGAGGTGGAGGTTGCGGTGAGCCAAGATCATGCCATGGCACTCCAGCCTGGGCAACAAGAGTGAAACTCTGTCTCAAAAAAAAAAAAAGAGACAAAATGTTAAAGACTAGGAGTGGTTCAAGAAGCAGCAACACCAGCAGAGAGGAATTTTGTGCTTGTTAAAGCAAAGTAAGGAAAGAGATGAATGGAAGGAGCAGTGGATGATGTCATTATTTTAGACACACACCTGGAATAAAACTCTGAACAGGTGGATCATTGGTCACCTTATGAAATATTGTTTCAAGCAAGTGGTAGAAACAGATCCAGAGTTGAGTGGGTTAGGAGGAAATAGGTGTTCAAAAATCGGGGGGAGTATCCATAGGTGTGTTGCCTCTAGATAAGACATAAAAGCTCACATTGGATCAACACACCTCCTAAAGTGACTGGGAGAAAATAGATACGTTAAAATATCACTTATTTTTAAAAGACCTTGGACTTCTATGGATGCAAAGAGGTCTAAAGGGACTAAATGTTGGGCGCTTCCTGGGTGACCAGAGACCAGCAGCTACTTTCTCCCCTAGGGCATCTGCTAAGTCTAGAAATCGGCAGATAGAGGATCTGGGAGGACAGAGTTAAAAACTTTGTTGGCAAATGGAGAAAACAGAGGAGCTTTGAATAGCCCCCAGGAAGTGGCAAGATAGATTGGAATCTGTAGGAAAGCTAATTCTCTCCACTCACTATTCTCCCCCACGGGATGTTTTGTGGATTACACAGCAGCAGCCATTGTAGCTGCATGTTAGGGTGTGAACGATGCTAAGAAACAGAAAGATCTCCACAGCTTCACTGTGCCTAGACAAGAATCCTGCTAAAGGAAAGGACCTATAATTCAAGCAGGATATACTACACTCAAGATGTTTGGGAAACAGACTCAGAGGTAAATTAAACCTAGCCAAAGCTGCAACCCAGCCCTGGCCCAGCTAGTTCCTGGATAGGCCTCAAGGAAGGCTAGGCATCGCAGAAAAAAGAATCAGTAAACCTGAAGGTCAACAGAAATTGTCTGAACTAAAACACAGAGATGAGATCAAAAACATGAAAGAGATAGAAAGGACTAAGAGAGACATGTGGGATAACGTCAAAGGGTCTAAGATACAGGTAATTGGCATTCCAGAAGGAGCCGGACAATAGGGCATAATAAATGCTTGAAGAGGTAATGGCTTAGAAGTTTCCCAAACTGGTGAAAGACATAAGCAACAGATTCAAGAAGCTCAGATGATCCCAGCCGAGATAAATACAAAGAAAACCATACCAAGGCACATTGTAGTCAAATTGCTGAAAGCCAATGACAAAAAGACAGGAAGCATCGATTCATTGTTTTAAAAGTGTATTATTGAAAGGAAAGTGAAATCAAAGGGGTGGAGTTTGTTTAAATACATTGTTTTAGTTTTTTCTTTAAGACGGGGAAATACTGAGGGTGTACATACGCAAAGGGAAAGAAGAAAGTAGAAGAGGAAATACTTAAGCAGTATGGTATGGAAGTTAGGATCTGTGGGGTTGGAGCATTGTATTAGTCTG
Source organism: Homo sapiens (assembly GCF_000001405.40). Lineage (NCBI taxonomy): Eukaryota > Metazoa > Chordata > Mammalia > Primates > Hominidae > Homo > Homo sapiens. The sequence goes on from NC_000010.11 coordinate 14,461,995, forward strand.
TTCTCAAACTGCTAATAAAGACATACCTGAAACTGGGTAATTTATAAAGAAAAAATAGGTGTAATGGACTCACAGCTTCACGTGGATGGGGAGACCCCACAATCATGGCAGCAGGCAAAGGGGGAGCAAAGTCACGTCTTACGTGGCAGCAGGCAAGAGAGAGAACATGTGTAGAGGAACTCTCCTTTATAAAACTATAAGATCTCGTGGGACTTATTCACTATCACGAGAACAGCACGAGAAAGACCTGCCCTCATGACTTAATTACTTTCTGCCAGGTCCCTCCCATGACACGTGAGAATTATGGGAGCTACAATTTGAGATCTGGATGGAGACACAGCCAAATCATATCAAGTGAGATCAGCGTGGGTATGAATCTCTACTCCGATTTATCGCTAACTATGTAACCCTTGGCAGATAACACCAACTCTAACAATCTGTTTTATCAGTTTTAAATGGGGCTGGTGATGATAGTAACTACCTCTTACAGTTGTTGTGAGGCTTAATTTAAATAATTCATATATTGTGATTGCAGAGCATCTAGTTCATAGAAGGTATATTAGTCTGTTCTCACACTGCTATAAAGAAATACCTGAGACTGGGTAATTTATAAAGAAAAGAGGTCTAATTGGCTCATGGCTCTGCAGGCTATGCAGGAAGCATAGCAGCTTCTGCTTCTGGAGAGGCCTCAGGAAACTTACAACCATGGTGGAAGGCAAAGGGGAAGCAGGCATGTTTTACATGGCCAGAGCAGGAGCAAGAGAGAGATGGATGGGGGAGGTACTGCCTACTTTTAAACAACTAGATCTTGCGATAACTCACTCAGTATTAGAAGAACGGCACAACGAAGATGGTGCTAAACCATTCATGAGGCATCCACCCCCATGATCAAATCGTCTCCCACCATGCCCCACCTCCAACACTGGGGATTACAATTTGACATGAGATTTGGGTGGGGACACAGATCCAAACCATATCAGAAGGTATTCAGTAAATGCTAGCCAGCAGCGCTGCTAGCAGAAGTAGCACTTATCTAAGTACAATTTGCCAAGCTGCAGGAGAGGAGAAGCGGAAGCATTAACAAAGGAAGGTCTTACAGGAGGCAGGAAAAGATAGAGGAATACCATGGATGAAGAAACCAATCTTGAAAAGTTACTAATATTAAGGCAAAATCATGGCAAACTAAGTAATTCAGACCAACTTTCTCAATGAAGATACCTAGAAAATCCGAACAAAATATAAAAGTCTTTGCAACAGGTAGACAAGATAGTGAAGAATTTACTGGGCAAGGATATACAGAGGTCTGGGGAAGTCAGCTGGTATTTAGGACTGATTTCCCCTAAAAGTGTTTGCCAATTTCTAAAGCCAGCTAAGACACTGACTGCTGCTTCTGACAGAGCAATAGGTTTAGAGTCCAGAGTTAAGAAGGCGGAAGTCCTGTGAATGCTCCTTTCTTTGGGTTAGGGCATTAAAGTGCTGCATCCTAGGAGTAAAGTAATGGGAGACATATCTAGATACTGCCACTTGGCTGAACGATTTTTTTTTTTTTTTTGAAATGTAGTTTCACTCTTGTTGCCCAGGCTGAAGTGCAATGGTGTGATCTCGGTTCACCGCAACCTCCACTTCCCAGGTTCAAGTGATTCTCCTGCCTCAGCCTCCCAAGTAGCTAGGATTACAGATATGCACTATCACTTCCAGCTAATTTTTGTCGATTTTTAGTAGAGGCGCGGTTTCTCCATGTTGGTCAGGCTGGTCTGGAACTCCCGACCTCAGGTGATCTGCCTGCCTCGGCCCCCAAAAGTGGGCTGAATGACCTTAATCCCTAAAATTGTTACTGAGGAAATCTCTGATGGTTAATGCCACCCACATGACTGGCAGAGGAAAATAAAATCATCCTAGGCTTCATATTATGTCTACAGTTTTTTTTTTTTGAGACAAGGTTTCGCTCTTGTCGCCCAGGCTGGAGCACAATGGCCCAATCTCAGCTCACTGCAACCTCCACCTCCCGGGTTCAAGTGATTCTCCTACCTCAGCCTTCCGAGTAGCTGGGATTACAGGCACATGCCACCACGCCCAGCTAATTTTTATATTTTTAGTAGAGACAGTGTTTCACCATGTTGGCCAGGATGGTCTCAATCTCTTGATCTCGTGATCCACCCGCCTCGGCCTCCCAAAGTGCTTGGATTACAGGCATGAGTCACCGTGCCCAGCCCACAAATAATTTTGTAAATGCACAATCAAAAATAACCCAGCACACATGAATATATAAGGCAACATAATGAAAAGGAGCAGAAATAACAGTCAAGAGAAACAGACCTGCAGGATTCCAGATACTGTATTATGAAACACAGTCTTTATGGTTACAAGGCTCAAGGAGATCAACAACATTGAGAATTTCAACAGAAAAGTTGAAAACAAGAAAATGAAGTAACTGTCAACTATATCTGGTGAAAGTATGTAGCAATAATTAATGTGAGATACATAGAGACATTTTCAAACAGGCAAAAGCAGAGAATTTATCACTAGCAACTTGCTCTACAAGAAATACAAAGACAAAATTCTTTTTCAGACCAGAGGCCCACTGAAAATGGAAAGTATTTAGGCAAATATTAATAACTTCTTTTTGAGACAGGGTCTTGCTCTGATGCCCAGGCTAGAGTGCAGTGGCACCATCACAGCTCACTGTAGCCTCGACTTCCCAGGTTCAATTGATCCTCCTACCTCAGCCTCCCAAGTAGCTGGGACTATAGGCACACAAAACCACACTCAGCTAATTTTTGTATTTTTTGGTACAGACAGGGTTTTGCCATGTTGCCCAGGCCAGTCTTGAACTCCTGGGCTCAGGCAATCCACCAACCTCAGCCTCCCAAGGTGAGGAGGCGTAAACCACTGCATCCAGTGGATGTAGGCGTAAACCACTGCATCCATCCATGAACAAGTTTTGACTACTTAAAACAAAAGAAAAGGTGTAGTAGTATATAAAATAGAGAATTCAAATACTCAGAAATGGATGGCACATGGGTTGGAAAGGGGTTAAACTTAGAAAAGTGCTATAAGGACCTTGCATTATCCAAAAAGAGCTGAAAGCAGCAGTTGTAAATTAGACTTTGAAAAGTCAGGGGTTATGATGTAAAACTGAAGAAAACAATTGACAATATAATTTTTTTAAAAGTCAGCATTTAAGCTAATAGCAGACTGTCTTTACGTCTTCTAAGAATCTTCCCTAAAGAATTTACCTGAAACTCAAGCAAAGACGAAGGTACAAACTTGTTCACTGTAGTGATATTGATAATAACAAACATTGGAATGAAATGTTCAGGATTGGAAAATCTTTGTTGGTGTGATGAAATATTATACAGCCATTTAAAATGATGCCTTCACAGCTGGGCCCAGTAGCTCATGCCTGTAATCCCAGTACTTTGGGAGGCCAAGGTGTGTGGGTCATTGGAGGTCAGGAGTTCGAGACCAGCCTGGCCAACATGGTGAAACCCCGTCTCTTCTAAAAATACAAAAAAAAATTAGCTGGGCATGGTGGCTCACATCTGTAATCCCAGCTACTCAGGAGGCTGAAGCAGGAGAATTGTTCAAATCCGGGAGGCAGAGGTTCAAATCCAGGAGGCAGTGAGCCGAGATCGCGTCACTGCACTCCAGTGACAGAGTGAGACTCTATCTCAAAAAATAATAGTAATAAAACAAAAATAACTAAAAATAAAATGATGACTCCAAATAATATTAGTGACATTGAGGAAATGCTATGGAAATAACAGTAAGTGAAAAAGGCCAGAAATAAACATTGTTAGGAGACTATAACCAAATTTAGTTTTTAAAGTCCACATTCACAGAGAAGACACTTTATAAACAAAATATAACTGTCATGCCTGGGGAGAAAATTACAAGTGATTTTTATTTTCTTCTCCTTATTTTTACTGATTTTGTATCAAAGTGTATATTACTTTATAATCAGAAAAAAAGTTCTTAGCAATAAACTGTTTTCCTTTAAAAGTAAAAGAAATTATGATACCTCTTTCTCTTAGACAAAAGAAAACTCAGGATGTGTGAAAATAGATCTTTTCCATGTTGTTTTTTATATCTCTTTGAATAAATGAAGATATCTGCTATACAGCTTTTTACCCAACTAACTCTACTTATGTCTATGTATAGCCACACAGTGTAGCACATTCATTGATTCAAAGTCTCAAATCTCTTTTCTTTCTACTTTTTTTTTTCTTATACATGAACACAGGAAAAATAAAATATGTACTGTACTGGGACATTGGGATTCTGGGTGCTTTTTAAAAAAATCCCTGTTACTGCTATTATAACACGGTTCATGTGATTTTTTTTTTTTTAAGCTTGGCTTGGTTTAGTTGGCTCCATGGTAACTTCTGGAAAGGTTAAGTGCAATCTTCCCTAACCACCTATCAATCATCCTCCCAGAGTGAGATCTTGGAGCCTGGAAGCATTACTCACGATGACCAGCCATCTGTGACCTGGACTTATGTCCTTCATGGCTTGTGAAAGTCAATGGTGGGACGTGAAGTCATCCTGGAAGAAGACAGAGGGAGTGCTGAAGTCCTGGAACAATGCCCACACTCTGGAAGGAAATAGGCATCCATTTAGTTTGATACTAATGTCTTCTCCATTTTCTATCTCTTTTGAGTTTATTTCCAGGGAGGGCTACTGAGGATTATAAGACAGATACCTTGGCATGGCTCAGGGTTTTTAGACTTCCTAGATTTTTTTCCCTCAATTTCCCTGTCTATAATTATTTTTTTAAAGGCTATTTGTTGATGTTAGATACATAAATGAAGTTAATTAAAAAGCAATATAAAATCAGGATGCCAAACAGGTGTTCTGCTTTCACATTTCCTCAGAATTCCCTGCAGGAACATTACATTTGTGATAGCTCAGAGTGGCTTTTCCTAAGAACAGATACCACTCCTAACAGAGTTAGCGGGAGAGGAGGGGACACAGGGGTCAGCTGTCTACTGGGCAGGCCAAGCAACACAGCCAGGACCAAGGTCTCGCCGGAGCCAGCCCAGGACTAAGTGCCACAACGCCTCTGTCTCCAGGCGGTTCATTTCTTCACCTTCCAAGAAGGGATTCCTAGGTCACCATGAAAACATTTGCAGAAGGACTATGCATCTTTCATTAAAAATAAAAAGTTAGCGCAAGTCCCAGCTTGAGCCTCCACTGGTATTTGTACAGGGGACTAAGGCGTTTCCTGGGAGAGAATCATTCTAGGGGAGAAGGAGCGAGCCTGGAACATAGGGGCTGTAAGTGGAGCACGTGGACTCCTCCTTGGGTCCTAGAGAGAGAAGGAAGGCTATAAGTGAATATAGAAGGCTGTTTCATTAAAATACTTATAGGAGGCCAACACTTTGGGAGGCCAAGGCGGGTGGATCACCTGAGGCCAGGAGTTCGAGACCAGCCTGGCCAACATGGTGAAACCCCATCTCTACTAAAAATACAAAAATTAGCTGGGCATGGTGGCAGGCGCTTGTAATCCCAGCCACTCGGGAGGCTAAGGCAGGAGAATTGCTTAAACCCGGGAGGCAGAGGTTGCAGTGAGCCGAGATTGAGCCCTTGCACTCCAGCTTAAGTAACAGAGCAAAACTCCATCTCAAAAAAAAAAAACAAAAAAACAAAAACCAGCGTCATGGTAGGACTTCATGGTGCATGTGTTACAGGTTGCATACCTACACACACACAAACACACACATGTACCTGTGCACACTCACAGCATAGAGCAACACACAGAGAAGTGTTGATTCTCCTTCATCCTGCCCCAGACCACGACACAGTATTGGCACCAGGAGGGCCCAGTGAATGAGAAGCAATGCCCAGAGGAAGATGTGAAGGTACCTGTGGAAGACCACAGGGCCCAGCAAAAGATAGAGGGACATTAAATGTGCCCAGGGGGACCCCAAATGCTCACTGCAGGGACAGCACTCCAAGGAGCCACTTACTCAAGGGCAAGGAAGTCTCCTCCCAGGGAGACTCTGAGAGGCACTGAAATGGAGGTCACTGGGGTGAACAGAGGGGCAAGGGGGCGTTGGTAAGAGACAATAAAATTTGAGTTACGACTCATAATGTGACCCCATTAGACGCACAGGCTGGCGAAGTGCAGGGAAATGCAGGCTCCAAGAACGTCTGAGGCTGTAATTATCAGCCCATTTATTTTCACTGGCGACAGGGGCAGAAGCTCGGTAATTGGAGGACAGCTGTGCAGAGGCTCAGACAAATTGTGTTCCCTTCTATTCCATATTTCACAGAGAACATGTACAACCACCTGAACTCTGGAACAGACCATGGCTCGTTACTTTTGACAAGTTGTGCCAGAAAACACGTATCGCCAAGTGATTCATCGCTGCCTCTATCCAGATCATAAATCTTTATTTTCCAAAAGCCGTGCTTTGGATTCAGGGCAGAATGTAGTGTTGATTCTCTTTGGTTGGCAGTCAGAAGAATTGTCTCCTGATGTCCTTTCTTATGGATTTTATCGGCTCTCTGGGAACCATTCTACTCTCTGGCTTGTGACTTGTTTTCCACTCAACTAAAAAAAAAATACAGTTTCAGTAAAGGTGGAAGGAGTTTTCACAAGTCAATGTTCAAATACCTTTGGGGTGATTGTGTTGGCTTAAACCCCATTAAACTGTAGTTCATTGGTTCATCTATAATACGGAATTATAAACTGTGCCTAAACCTAAAATAAACTTTCTAAAATTTCTAAGGCTGTGAAATTACTATTTTTAAAATCTTACTTTTTAAAGAAATGATGTGAAGATTATAAACAAAAAGCATGAAGGGACTGGTTTATCACTCACCAGGTACCAGGCCTTTCATAGAAATACAACAAGCCTCATTTAGCCCTCCCGCAAACCCTGCCAAATGGTCATTGTTAGAGTGCCAAGACACTTTTCTCCATCACTGGAGACCTCTGGGATCCTGGGGTAATTTAAAGGTCAACATTGGTCTGGCTCCAAGTGTTCCAAGAAGATTTTGTTGACATGATGTCAGCTGGGCATCATGGGAACTATACCACGGATATCTACATCCCTGGGGACGTTCTGGCCAAGGACTGTCCATGAGAAGCAAACCCTGCTCACATTTCAAAATGCCCTCATGGTTTTAGCCCTACTCCATATGAGCAGCCCATATCCTGAGTACAAGAGGGTTGGAGAACACGATTAGAGAGATTCAGGATACATTAGCTTTCTTCCAGAACCGTCCCTCAACCAGAGACTTTGGTCCTGGAAGATGCCTTCTATTTCCCCGCAAGGGTTCCTGTCACCTGGCCACATTCAGGTAGACATTTGGTACTTAGGACCCTCCTTTACTTTCCAAATCAGACGACATAGAGATCCTTCTTGTCATTTATTGGGAACATAAAGGCAAAATATTCAAAGACAGAGTGTATTGCAGGTTACCATGAGGGGTGTCTGTTTTAAAGGTAAGAAAATGCAGGTGTCCAGGCAGCAACAGGGAAGAAATACTAAGGAAAGTTGCTCCGCCTCCAATGTTACTTCCTCTACTGAAGTGACGGAAAACGAACAGTATTCCCCAAATTCAGCTAGTGATTCAGGCAGTGATTCCCCCAATTCAGATGTGATACTGCAACTTACATACCCTCAAGGCTATGCCCAGCTTATTTTAAAAAGAAAGAAACTGACCAGGGAAGTCAAGTAATGATACAGGAGGTAGAAAGAAATTATTTAGGCAGATAGTGAGGGCAAAGGAGTCCTCGGTAGAGCTTCTTTTATAACGAAAGGTAGCCCCCAAAATCATTTCTTTTCTAAAAAAGAGCAGCCTAAAAAATCGAGCTACAAACATAAATAAGGAAGCTAGAAGCTTGCACGAGGGAAAGCTGGCAGCTGCACCCATAGAAAAGAGCTATCTGGGAGCCAGGCATGTCCAACATGGAGGCTCCATCTTCCCTTTTTGTTTGTTGCCATATGTACAGTAACAAAGAAATGGGCAACATGGCACAGCTCAGGCAGAGAACCCACCTGCATAATAAAATATTGGGGTAGTGGGGGCTACCAGAAATTCACACCCTATGCAAATGGCACAGCTGGTCTAACCAGTTTTTCACACCCTATGTAAATCAGACACCTCCTCCTCACCAGATAGATCATCTACGTAACCCCCATGGGTCCAGCAACCCATTTTTTCGGTACCCCTCTCTGCTTGCAGAGAGCTATTCTCTTTCTTTTGCCTATCAAACTTCTGTTCTCAACCTCACTCTTTGTGTGTCCACGTCCTTGTTCTCCGTGACCATGCAACAATGTACCTCGGGTGTTACTGCAAACAATGAGGCCATTTCAGTAATTTGTTCCACATCACACAGCAACTAACGGGGATGCCAGGATTTGAAGCCAGGTTTGACAGCAAGGCTCGCGATCTGTGCATTGTGCTGCATTGCATCCATGGAGGTACCTAACATGACTCTGTGGCTGGTGATGAACAACCTGAGCTCAACAGATGCTATAATTGCCCTGAATTTGCTTAATACCTCACTTATGCACTTATGGCTGCATAAGTGACAATGGGCACCAAACTCAGCACAGAAGTCCAATGGGCAGAAGGAAGAACACACATCCTGCATTTTAAAATTCATACATTAAAAACCTTTGCATCACTCCCAAAAAAAATCTAGCAAAGCTATGGAGAAAGAATAACTATACCATGGAGACTCCTGGCAAGCACCTCCTGACCCAAGGATTGAAGCCCACATCATCAGTAATGCCCCATGGATGCCACATGCCCTGGTAAGATGGGGACAGAACAAAACTTCACCTCTGCAGTCTTTCTCCCAAAGATCCACAACCCCAGTCTAACGAGAAAAACATCAGACAAATTCAAACTCAGGGGCCTTCTACAAATAGCTGACCAATACTCATCAAAACTACAAAGGTCACAAACAACAAGGAAAGACTAAGAAATCATCCCAGGCAAGAAGAAACTAAGGAATTAGGACAACTGAGCACATTTCCGGGGGCTGGATTGGGCCCTGGATCAGGAAAGGATGGTAAAGGCAAAAAACAGGTGAAATCCAAATAAAGCCTGTAATTGAGTTGGCAGTAACATACCCATGTGTATCTCCTGCCCTTGAGAAACACACCACAGTCAGGTAAGATAGCACTGGAGGAAAGTAAACACAGGTGAGGGATATATGGAAATTCTCTACACTGACTTTGCAATTGGGCTGTGAATCTAACATTACTCTAAAATAAAAAGAATATTTTTGGTTTTGTTTTTGGTTTTTTGAGATGGAGTCCTCCCTGTCGCCCAGGCTGGAGTACAACGGTGCGATCTCGGCTCGCTGCAATCTCCACCTCCCAGATTCAAGCGATTCTCCTGCCTTAGCCTCCCGAGAAGCTGGGATCACAGGCACATGCCACCATGCCTGGCTAATTTTTTGTATCTTTAGTAGAGATGGGGTTTCACTGTGTTGACCGGGCTGGTCTCCAACCCCTGACCTCGTGATCCGCCCACCTCGGCCTCCCAAAGTGCTGGGATTACAGGCGTGAGCCACCGCACCCGGCCTAAAAAGGATATTTTCTAAAAATAAAATGGCAATAAAAACTCTCACGCTCTAAAAAAATTGAATGAATTTTCTCTCTCAAAAAAAAAAAGCCTTCATTCACACGCACACACAAACACAGTTATACCCCACGTAATGTTTGTTCAGCAACAGACCATATACGGGACTATATGACTGTGATCCCATAAGATTATTATATGGGATTTTTCCTGTGCCTTTTCTATGTTTAGATATGATATGTTTACATACACAAATACTTCCCACTGTGCTACAGTTGCCTACAGTATTCAGTACAGTCACATGCTGTGCGGGTGTGTAGCCCGGGAGTAACAGGCTATTATTCCATCTAGCCTAGGTGTGCAGTAGGCTGTACATCTAGATTTGGGTAAGTACAGCCAGTACTTGTGACGTTCACACAATGAAGAAATCGCTTAATGATGCTTTTCTCTGAACATATCCTGTGCTTAAAGCAATGCATGACTATAATTGTAAATTACGTGCCACCAAGTGGCTGATTAAATGAGTGGGAACCTTGGGTCAAGACAGACTTTTTGTTAAGGGGTTCTGCCTCACCTCCCTGTTGCATTGGGATAGGTGTCTGGCAGAAGGAAGGTTGCAATACAGGGGGAGAGCATGGCAGCCTGGACCAGAGGGACCCTAGCAGAAAGAGAGTCAAGTTCAAGAAGACAGCAGCTGCAGTGGGAAGGACAAACAGAGGAAAAATTTGGCTTCATGTAGGGAAAACAGCTGCATCCTAGAATTGCATGTCCCCTGACCCTCACCAAACACACACACACACACACACACACACACACACACACACACTCCACTCTTCACCCTTGACCCAGCAGCCAAGCCCTGCCACTTTTAACTCTAAACCCCTCCTCAGGTCCTTCCCTTCTCCTCATTGCCATGACCACTGCCCTCGTTCAGCCTTCGTGGGATCTCCTGAACTCTTTCCCTACAGAGTTCCCTGCCCCTGGGCTCTCCCTCCAGCCCCTCCACTCAACCCCAGAGCAATATATAGAAAAGCAAAAGCAACCATTTCACATCCCTTCTAAAAATGCTTCAGTGGCTTCTGTCCTCAGACACCCCTCGCTGCTCCGCAGCCAGCCTCTGGGTCCTCTGCAGGCTGGACATCACCCCCTCTCCCTCCAGAACCCTAGCAGTCTGTCCTCTCCTAGACAGCCACAGCCCACTACCTTCATCTAAACTCTTCCCCAGGCCACCTAGATCTTCCCTGCATTCTTTGCCTGGCTGACTCCACCCAGCCCTAAGGATCTGGTCCATAGAAACTTCCCTTGATTCCCCTCCTGTCCACCAGGGCCCTTGACTAATCCTGTTGAAACCCTCTGTTTCTCGGTCTGTCTCCTCCACTCCTGGACCCTGAATTCTCAAAAAACAGAAATCATTCATACCTCCCTGGCACCCAGCACCATGCCTAGCCTGGGATGGTTATCCCAGAAAAGTTGGCTGAACTGACTTGAAGTAGGTGGAGAAGCACTGAGAAATGGGACATCCCAGAGCCAGTCACGAGGAGTGAGATTTGTGGCACCTGGAGAGAAGCGTCCAGAAAAGGCGGCAAAGCCAAAAAAGGAGTGGAGAAGATGGTGGTAGATTCTGGAACAGAAACAACTCAATAAACCAAGCAAGAGAAGATAAGGGCTGTGGCTAAGGGTGTGAGGAAGATGAGAAAGGGGATGATATGAACCTATGCCCGGCTGACACCATGTCACAAGCCTCCTATGGACTTTTTTGTTTTTTTCAAAAAGAACTGTTGTAAAATATATGTAACATAAAACGTAGCATTTTAGCCATTTTTAAGTGCATAGTCAGTGACATGACATACATTCAGAAGGACTTGCTTTTGTAAAAGATAACAGAAATACCGGGAAAATGACAGAAAAAAACAAATATGTACAAAAATGAACCCACATTTTTAAATGTTAAGTTTGGCCGGGTGCAGTGGCTTATGCCTCTAATCTCAGCACGTTGGGAGGCCGAGGCAGGTGGATCTCTTGAGGCCAGGAGTTCAAGACCAACCTGGCCAACATAGTGAAATCCCGTCTCTACTAAAAATTCAAATATTAGCTGGGTGTGTTGGCTCATGCCTGTAATCCCAGCTACTAGGAAAGCTGAGGCAGGAGAATCGCTTGAACTGGGGAGGCGGTGGTTGCAGTGAGCCGAGACTGTGCCACTGTACTCCAGCCTGGGCAACAACAGAGTGTGATTCTGTCTCTAAATAAATAAATAAATAAAAGTGTTAAGTTAGACAGATCTAAAGTACCCTGTCCAATTCCAATCAATGCTTCTGAACTCATCTCACCCTGGCAACAAACATTTGCAGGGTCCTGCGGGAGTGCCTCTGCTCTAACTTCCCCGTTCCTCTGCCCACCCCCCTGGGGTAGATGTCGCTTTAAGGGTCTTGGTGCATGTTTCTTATTGTGATCCCTCTTCCAAAACCAGGAACCCCTGAAAGTGAGAACTTGTCCCTGGAGGTGGAGAGATGGCCCGTGGAGCCGTGTGAGCTGAGAAATCCTCAGGTCCTCACCATTCTGTAAGCAGAGCGGCTTGGAATTAGCACCAGGCACAAATCTGTCTCCTTTTGGGCTTGTGTGTCAGGCTCATGTTCTCCCCTGGGGTAGCCAGCCTTCAAGGAGGCCCTCAAGGGTCCTGACCTCTCCATATTCACACACTTGCTACGTCACTCCCATACTGAATCACTGCTGGCCCTGTTCGACCCATAGGTTAGGGGGATAGGCCAGGCACGGTGGCTCACACGTGTAATCCCAGCACTTTGGGAAGATGAGGTGGGCAGATTACCTGAGGTCAAGAGTTCGAGATCAGCCTGGCCAACATGGCAAAACCCCGTCTCTACTAAAAATACAAAAATTAGCCGGGCATGGTAGCTCATGCCTGCAATCCCAGCTACTAAGAAGGCTGAGGCAGGAGAATCGCTTGGACCCGGGAGGTGGAGGTTGCAGTGAGTTGAGATCACGCCACTGCACTCCAGTCTGGGTGACAGAGTGAGACTCCGTCTCAAAACATAAAAAAAAAAAATAAAGGGGGACGGACAATGATGACTTCTAAGGCTGGGCAACAAAAGCCTTGCAGGTTCTGCCCAAGTTTCTTGAACCCCTGATCCCACACATTAAGAGGCCCGGTTGCCCTAAAGCAGCCAACACTGGAGACTGCACCCACAGAGACCATAGAGCAAGAGAGAGCGAGAGACAGGGAGAGAGTGAGCATGAGAGCAAGGGGGGCAGGTGCAGCCCCAGCTGTTCCAGCCTCCAGCTGTTCTAATCATTGCAGCTGTGGTCCCAGATGTTGTGGAGCAAAAATGAGTCATCCCTGCTGACCTCTGTCGAGATTGCAGACTCATGACTTTCATGGTCAAAATTGTGTCCTTTCAAAAAATGTGTATGCTGAAGTCCCAACCCACACTACCTCAGGATGTGACTGTACAGGGATGTTAAAGAGGAAATTCAGTTAAATGCAGGTCATTAGGGTGGGTCTTAATTCAATAGAACTGGTGGTCCTTATAACAGTAGGAGATTGGGACACAGGTACAGAGGGAAGAGCACGTGGAGACACAAGGAGGAGGCAGCTATCCACAGGCCAAGGAGAGAGGCCTCAGGAGAAATCCACCCTGCCAACACCTTGGCCTCAGACTTCCAGCCTCGGGAACTGTAGGAAAATTAATTCCTGTTGTTTAAGCCAGGGGTCCCCAACCCCCGGGCCACAGACTGGAACTGGTCCATGGCCTGTTAGGAACCTGGCCGCACAGCAGGAGGTGAGCAGTAGGTGAGCGAGTGAATCGTCATCTGTACTTACAGCCACTCCCCATCGCTGGCGTTACTGCCTGAGCTCAGCCTCCTGTCAGATCAGCGGCAGCATCAGATTCTCGTAGGAGAATGAACCCTACTGTGAACTGCACATGCCAGGGATCTAGGTTGCACGTTCCTTACGAGAATCTAATGCCTGATGATCTGTCACTGTCTCCCATCACCTCCAGATAGGACCATCTAGTTGCAGGAAAGCAAGCTCAGGGCTCCCACTGATTCTGCATTATGGTGAGTTGTAGAATTATTTCCTTAGATATTATAATGCAATAATAATAGAAATAAAGTGCACATCAAATGTAATACGCTTGAATCATCCTGAAACCACTGCACCCTCCCACCCCCACCATCGATGGAAAAATTGTCTTCCATGAAACCAGCCCTTGGTGCCAAAAAGGTTGGGGACCATGATTTAAGCCACCTGGTCTGTGATACTTTCTTACAGCAGCCTGAGCAAACTAATGCAATGACAATAGATGAATATTGTTGTTTCAAACCACTAGAGTTTTGGGGTAATTTGCTACACAGCAATGTATAACCAGCATACCCCAATCTCCCAGAAATACGTATTTTTAAATTACTGGCACACAAGAGGCTCTACAACTTCCATAGAAAGGTATTTCATACAGAAAAGTGATCGCAATGTTTTGAAACCTACATTCTTCTTCCTGACACTTAATTGTTATTTTGCTCTGTCCCACTGAGGAGAGAATATAAGGGGGTGGGGTTTCCAGGCACCTGCAGAACAAGCACACACCACAGCCCAGAAGAAAGGGAAGCTGTGACAGAGAACCCTGCCTGCAATATTCCAGCCTCCCAGGCTGCTATAAAAATGGAGAAGTCAATTGCCGGGCTATAAAAATGCAATGACTATTAGGTCTCTCAATGTGCGAACATCTATTAGCATCACGACAACTGCGGAATTAGGTGAAACAAATGTGCTTCCCAGCCTCCCAGCTGAAACACTGTGAAAGGTTAATTGGATTTCATTTCAAACTCTGTGCACCTCCTAGGAGGTTGCATGGGTTCATAGCAAAACGAGGTGCAAGATGGTGACAGAATTCCGTTCGCCCGAGGTCCAAAATTGCACGTTGCCTATCCCTAAATTGACAAGAATGCCACTGTCAGATTTTGAGCCTTTCTCCACCCGAAGTTTCAAGCCACTAGTGATGAACAGGTGTTCCTGGTCCTTGACTCGAACATCGAGAAAGACCTCTGAGTTGTGTCTCTTTGTAGAGAAAATAAAAGCAGTAAGGAGTCAGCTAAGGAATTTTCGGAGTCATTTCACTGCTGTGGGTGGGTCCAGGGTTGCCAGTAACATGTGAAATGCATTACTTTCCTTCCAATTTGTGGTTATGTCACAGCCAGCTAAAAAGACTTTGCCAAAACCTCAAGTAGATTTCCAGGGCGGCAAACTAACACGTCCATGATCTGATGAACGGCTTTGAAACTGAGGTGTCGGGAATTTCTGTGGCACCATTCCCAACACGAAGATGTGTCTGGGACAGCACCCCAAACCCCTTTTTCCTTTGGGCTCTCCACACTCCTAGCAAGGAGGAAATGTGGCCGTCATCATTCAGCCTCATGACTGTAAAACCCATTCAAAAGCTCTCAGTGAGGGTCCTAAAATGTGTGTGATGTCATCTCTTTCTCTGTGTAATCCACTTTGGAATGAGCTGAGGCACCTGTAAGGAATGTTGAATTGCACTGATAACTTGTACAGTTGTAAGCCACTTCCAAACTAGGTTCAAACTCGCTATGAGAAGACAGGGCCAGGTGCAGTGGCTCATGCTTATAATCCCAGCACTTTTGGAGGCTAAGGTGGGAGCATCACTTGAGCTAAGGAGTTCAAGACCAGCCTGGGAAACATAGTGAGGCCCCATCTCTACAAAAAATTTAAAAATCAGCTGGGTGTGGCATGGGGCATGTGCCAGCTACTTGGGAGGCTGAGATGGGAGGACTGCTTGGCCTGGGCGACAGAGTGAGATGCCTTCTCAGAAAAAAAGAAAAAGAAAAACAAAAAAAGAAGACAGCATTTGTTGACCAAGCATCTGGTCCTCACATTTTCTTTGCTACACACAGTTTATGCCGAGTGCAAAGCCACAGGATTTGGCAAAAATCCTAAAGGACGTAGCCATTGGATATGAGAAAAGAAACTTTGGTTGGGTTAGTCAGGGGATATCCTCGTCCTGAATTTGAGAAGGCTCTAACCCAAGGAGCTCCAGACAGGAAACTGGAAGACAAACAAAGGGAGAATGGAGACTTTGGGAACACCCCGTACCACTCTTAAACCTGGGCAGACAGGGCCCTACCCTCAGCCCTTAACTGTTCCTTCTCCCCCCATGACAGTCCTCATGGAGAGAGGCGTTCCCAAGGCCAAGGGAATACCCCAATCTCCAAGCTCATGCCTCTGCTTCTAGCCCCTGGAATGCTCTGATTAAATTGTCTGGTGAATCCCCCCAGGGCTGCCACTGCCCTCATCTCCATTCTGTGGTCTGCAGAGTGGCCCGAGCTATCTAAGTGCACCACGGATGAAGAGTAACCAGGGGCAGGTGTGTGCAGGGGAAGGGAGGGGATGGAGGCCCCTGTGATGCGGACGGTGGAGAGACAGGCCATGTTCTGAGCTCTGCCATGCCTCTTCTAGGAGTTCACGAACGATGAAGCCTTTAGCCACAAGGAGGCCATGGGAGAACCCGCCCCATTTCTCTCCCCTTCTTCCCTACTCCATCACCCGCAAGACAACAGACTGAAACTTTATGTTCTCATTTCATCCTTCTATTCTTTACTGTCTAACACAAGTGAAATGTTCTGTGTCTCATTTCAAAAGCAAACTTTACTCTTTTCCTGTGTCCCTGGACTGATTTCTTTTCTTGCCAGTTATTGACCCTTGGTGGAAAACATAGCACACCCCACCGAGTCTCTCGTCTCTTTTACTGGCTAGTTGCGTGTGAATAATGAAAGGTGCTTCATGGCTGGGAGGAGCCCTGTCCCTGGAGGGGTGAAGCCGGACCCGGATAAGTCACAGCTGAGCCACAGCAACTTGAGTAACCCTCGAGTTTGTATTCCCATATCCCTCATGACCCTCGGAGGGACAGGGGGACTCCATAACTTGCTCATATTCTGCAGATATTGCAGAGTAAAGCCAGTAACCCAACCCAGATTGCTTCCCAGATGGGAATAAGAGAAAAAGATTTGAATAAAATCACATGGCTAATTCAAGAACCAGATCGAAATAGAATAAAATTAAACTGGAACTAGGATTCAGGAGAAGAAAATAGTACTTTTTGTGTGTCTGTGCCAGAGCCTCAGCAGGGCAGGCTTGAGGTATGAGATTTAATTTGCAAAGCCACAAAGAATCCGCTAGTTCAAATTTCCTCCACTCCTCACTTTTTGTTCCAAGTCAGAAGCCACCAAAGCTGGCAGCCATCCCCAGGCAGGTCCACTGGATGCTATGGAGAGAGGGACCTCTAGTGTTGAGATACTTTTCTGTCATCCAGCAGCACGATCTGCTCTGGTCATTTTCTATTTATCTGTGATTTTTACAACACTGTTCCTCTGAGAAAAACCTCTATTTAAATGCCTAAAAGGAGAAGTTTTCTTTCACTTTTGAGAAAACTTTAAGAAATATAGGAATGGCAACATATAGGCTGTAACAAGATTAAGGAAAGTCTTAAGTAACCAAAAAATATGTGTTAAGCGTGTGGTAGCGTGTGCCTGTAGTCCCAGCTACTCAGGAGGCTGAGTCAGGACGATCACTTGAGGAGGAGATTTCGAGGCTGGAATGAGCTGTGATCACACCACTGCACTCCACTCTGCTCTGGGTGAAAGACAGGCCCCATCTCAAAAAAAAAAAAAAAAAGAAAGAAAGAAAAGAAAAAAAAAGAGGTGGGGAGCCTATTAAATCTTCAACCCTGGAATAGGTGCTGTATTAGTCTGTTTTCACACTGCTATAAAGATACTATCCAAGAGTGGATAATTTATAAAGGAAAGAGGTTTAATTGACTCTCAGTTCCACCTGGCTGAGGAGGCCTCAGGAATCCTACAGTCATGGCAGAAGGTGAAGGAGAAGCAAGCACCTTCTTTACATGGAGGCAGGAGAGAGAAGTGCAAGCAGAGAAACAACAGACACTTATAAAAAACCATCAGATCTTGGCCAGGTGTGGCGGCTCATGCCTGTAATCCCAGCACTTTCGGAGGTCGAGGTGGGCAGATCACTTGAGGTAAGGAGTTCAAGACCAGCCTGGCCAACATGATGAAAACCTGTCTCTACTAAAAATACAAACAAAAAAAAAATTAGCTGGGTGTGATGGCGCATACCTGTAGTCCCAGCTACTCAGGAGGCTGAGGCAGGAGAATCACTTCAACCCAGGGGCAGAGGTTGCAGTGACCCAAGATGGCACCACTGCACTCTAGCCTGGTGACAGAGCAAGTCTTCGTCTCAAAAAACAAAAACAAAAAACCATCAGATCTCATAAGAACTCACTATCATGAGGCCTGACCTCTGCAAGCTCTACTGTAACTGACCCATCCCATCTGACCAGAGTCCAGCTAAGGAGTCTGGGGTCTCTCCTGAAGGCAAATGAGAACCATGGAACTAGGGAGGACCAAGACAGGATGTCCTTAGGGTCCCCCATAGGGAGATCAAGAGGCATTTTTTCAGGACATTGGAGGACAAGACAGGGAGTAAGGTGATAAGATTTTCATTTTTTAAATACTAACAGGTGATTGTATGAAAGACGGATTGAAGGGGCACAGCAGTCTTCTTTGCATAATTGCAATCACACACCACTGAGAGACTCTTGAATTCGATTTGGGGAACCGTATCAACCAGAAAAGACCTGGAGTAAATATTGTTTTGGTTATCATTCCCAAAACAATATTACAATAAAACTTCCCATTACTCTCTAGAATTAATGATCATAGTAATAACCACCAAATCACAAATATTTATTGTGCATTTAGAATATTTAAGGCCTGGTTCTAAGAGACTTACATGGAAACGCTTACGAGAGAGACTCCCCGTTTAACAGATAAAGAAATCAAAGTTCCCAGAAGCTAGGTAATTAGCCAAGTTCATGTAGCTACCCAATAGGGGAACTCGGATTTCTCAGACCCTCAAGCCCACTTTTTTAACCCTGTATTATCTTCCATTTTCTTACTATTATTCAGGGCCCCTTGTTGATGATGAACACTCTTGCTAGAATGCAGGCCACTGTGTTGTCTGAGAGATTATACTACTGGGCATGGGACAGGAGGAAGACTCAGGTGATATCTTCGTTGCCAACGTGTTAAATGAAATCTGGAAAGTGTTCAGTGCTAACAGGACAGTGTTATCTGTCTCATAATATGCTGAGCATGAATCAGAAGAATATAAAAAGACAACTTCAAGGCCAAATGGAGGCAAAACTTACAAGATCCCTCCCACCCTCCCCGATTATCCTATCAGGGATCCTATCCGTGATCAGAGCATCTGGTTTGGGTGCCAGCAGGAGGTGCTAAACCAGGGGGGAATTATGAAAGGGTCAAAGAGAAAAGGGATTGTTTTCTTCAACAGAGCTTTTATGAAAAGTTCCCTTTGAGCTAGTCTTCCGCCATATCCATAATCTGCTCCAACATGGCAGCTGGTGTGAGGAGTTCTGTAAAACATCCTAGTCATTCTGGAAGCCAGGGAAGTCTCTGGCTTCTTGACAATAACTCAGGACTCTGAATTACTAATGGAAAAAGGAGGAATTCTGGGAGTAGCAAGCAGGACATTCATTAAGTCTGCCCATGGGTAGTAGCTTCGCTTTAGAATTGGAAGCCTCTCAAAGTCCTGAAATGCACTTCAAGAGCTGACAATGTCCAGAGCAATTGGGGCAATACCAAAGCACTTTGCGGCCATTCTCCAGAAGTCAAATGGCAAAGCGAGAACAGATTCTTCCCCTGCTCACTAGATAGAAGACCTTGTACTGAGGCCCGTGAGCAAAATTCTATTGTTGTGACACTCTATTACTTCCCAACAAAAATGAGTTCTCTTTTTTTTACTCCTCTCTGTCTTTTCTGTTACCTCCTTCCTTCCTTCCTCACAAGCTTTTTTTCTGGGGGTGGAGGTGTTGGGGGTGCCTTATGCCTCTTCCCTGGAGGAATTCCAGAACCAGTAGTACCAGCATGTTGATCACCCGCAAGGCTAGCAAGATGGCTAACCCTTGGCATTGCCCAAATGCTGTTTCAGAAGGTCAGCCTTCGTATGCTGGTGTGCTCAGCCCGCCTCGGAACCTTCTTTCCCACTTCAACATTCCTTGGTACTTAAATTCTTTGTGGAGCAATTACTTTCCACCTTGAGCAGTTCGTTTCTACTTGAACAGGCAGCTGGAGGTAGTCAAAGCGAGCTGAAACAATCGTTTGCTATTGTAAAGCTCCCTTCATCCATACACTTACCATTCATCACACTGGAAAATAACAGAATGGCAAAGAGCGATTGCTGGTATTAATAGAATCATGTCAGCTGAGGACAGACCCAAACAAACACAGCCATTGGGAACTATTGTGTCGCCTTACTGTCTCTGAAGGATTGTCCAGCTGGTAGATCTGAGCAATGTGCTCGTAAACAAAAGCCTGTACTCAGAGAGGCACTGCAGACACCAAGAAGCCTGACCGCTGACCGCAGGGCTTCACCTTCTGACACGCTGACGTCTCCAATGGTTTTTTTTTTGTTTTTTTTTTTTTTTTTTTTTTTGAGCAGAGTCTTGCTTTATTGCCCAGGCTGGAGTGCAGTGTCGTGATCTCAGATCACTGCAACCTCTGCCTCCCAGGTTCAAAGGATTCTCATGCCTCAGCCTCCCAAGTAGCTGGGATTACAGGTGTGCCCGACCATGCCCAGCTAATTTTTTTTTAATTTTTTTTTATTTATTTATTTTCCTCCTAGGCGGAGTCTTGCTCTGTCGCCCAGGCTGGAGTGCACTGGCGCGATCTCGGCTCACCGTCATCTCTGCCTCCTGGGTTCAAGAAATTCTCCTGCCTCAGCCTCCCAAGTAGCTGGAATTACAGGCATGCACCACCACACCCAGCTGATTTTTGTATTTTTAATAGAGACGGGGTTTTACCATCTTAGCCAGACTGGTCTCTGAACTCCTGACCTCAGGTGATCCACCCATCTCGTCCTCTCAAAGTGTTGGGATTACAGGCGGAGCCACCGTGCCAGGCCTATTTTTAGTAGAGACAGAGTTTCACTATGTTGGCCAGGCTGGTCTCGAACTCCTGACCTCAAGTAATCTGCCTGCCTCAGCCTCCCAAAGTGCTGGGATTACAGGTGTGAGCCACCATGCTCGATCCATCTCCAGGTTTTTTAGAGGGCTGATTTGTTAACTAGAAGGTTGATTGAGTACCAAGCAATAAAATGCAAGGTATTTTTAATTCAGTCATGAACATCTACTAAAATTATAAGAAAGTTGTTTTGTGAATCCCACGCTAAAGAAAGGGAAGGAAAGAATGTGGTTAACTCAGCTTAACTAGTTACCCGTCTCAGCGATCACAGATGATAAATGAAAAGGGAATCAAGTTCATACATTCAGCAAATTTTTTTAAGAGACAGAGTCTTGCTGTTGCCCAGGCTGGAGTGCAGTGGTGTTATCACAGCTCACAGCAGCCTCAACTTCTAGCCTCAAGCGATCCTCCCACCTCAGCCTCCAAGTAGCTGGGACTAACAGGTGCATGCCACCACACCCAGACAACTTTTTTTTTTTTTTTTTTTTTTTGTAGAGACAGAGCCTCACTACATTTCCCAGGCTGGTCTCAAACTGCTGGGCTCAAGCATCGGCCTCCCAAATCCCTGGGATTACAGGCATGAGCCACCATTCCCAGCCACATTCAGCAAATATTGATTGAGGGCTTCTGCATGCAAAATGTTGTTCTAGGTGCAGAGGAGAAAGAAGTTACCAAACAAAGACCCTGCCTTCCCTCTTGGAGTTTATTTACATTGAGGAGAAAGACAAAAAAATATATATAAATATATAATACAATGTCAGGGAGTGACAAACGCCAAGAAAAAAAAAATAAGGCAAGGAAAGTAAGCGTGGGCAATGGTGGGAAGATGAGACACAGGAACGGTCCCTCTCAGGAGGGGACATGTGAGCAGAGACCTGAGTGAAGCGAGGAGATGAGCTGTGTGAGTACCTGGGGGAGGAGCCAGCCCTGCAGTGGGAAGGGTTGTGCAAAGGCCCTGGGGCAGCACGCTTGGCATGCTCAAAGGACTGGGCTTGGTTTCTTAACAAACATATGGTGGCAGACTTGGTGCAGCCAAATGAGTGCTTTACCCTCCAAGTAATGAGGGTGCATGTATTATAATGAGGCTGCCGCTTTTGGAATCCCCCCTTTAGAATCAACCTTAAATTGCTATTTACATCCCCCTCTTCCCCAACTCCCACTCAAATAACCAAAGATCATCAAAAGAAACAGAAATAAATAGTGCCAGGAAATAGCAGAGAGGGCCATCAGCAGGCCAGAAACTTTGAGAAAACGTTGGATAGTGTGAGGTAGATGGGATCAAATTGACAGAAAAATTGATCAGGGCTGACTGACTGGTAATTCAGAGTCGGCCAGGGAGGCTCGCTGAGAAATGAAAGAACTTCCCCGACAGAGTCCTGAGGAGGAACCCCCAGCTCAGCTCTGACTGGAGGTCAGAGTGAGCCGAAGACACATTTAGAAAGGGATCAACAGGAAAACGTCTCTAATTGCACAGGTGGTCAGTCCACGTCCCCAGCTGCAGGTGGGGTGGATGTTAAAAGTCAAGTCCTAATGTCAATTGTGGGTGGGGAACCAAAAGAAGGTGGTACCCTGGCTAGCCTGTGTGTGCCACAGCAAATGGAAAATGGAACATAATTTATAACAGCTTAGCATCTGTGTTCACTTGGTGAACGTTGATTACACGAATTCGATGACTCCTGTCATACCCAACTAAAACAGAGTTGAGAAGCCAAGGCGTGGGGAATGCACTCTTGACACACAACATATAGGGTTGCTCCAAGAATGTCATTTTCTGCAAGCTCAGCTGCTGAAACTGCCTGCTGGATCCCCAAACCAGTCGAATCTAATGGCTACGAAACAACCTGCTGGGACTCTAAAAGTAGTTTTACCTGCCGCCACCACTTGCCTATCAGAAAGTTCCAGCTACGCAAAATTTTACTAGTGCCATTGAACTTCCTTGAAGGACAATACATAACGTTTATCTCTCTTTTACATATAAAACCTCTAACCTTCTCTTTGTTCTTTGGACATACCAAAGACCACCTGGTATGCATGTATGCCCCAAATTGCAATTTTTGCTTCCCCAATAAAATGTCCTAAATGTAGAGATTCATCTCTATACTTTATTTGACTTTGACCACTTCTTCCCTATTTCCTACCCCTAACCACATCCAGAAGATCTCAAGTAGATGGATGGGATGGGGATGAACCAGCTTTTGTGACCTTCCTGAGACCCCCATCCAGGAAGCAGCCGACTGCCCTCCAAGCTGCCTTGGGTAAAAGGGAGTTTGTCCCCAAAGGAACCCCTGCCTGCACCCTAGGCACACAAACACCAGCCACCAGTCTGTCCCCAGGCCACACGGTCCTACGGGAAGCCACCTGCAGCCTTCTCCTGCTCCCTCAGCAGACCCAGAACTGCCCTGTCATTCAGTAGGAGAATCTGTCTTTGTCCTGGTAGCTTGAATGGTGCCAACTCCATTTATGTTTTCTATTTGTATTTTCTTCGTGTTTTTCTTTTCCTTTCCTAACATATATGGGGTTCATTACATTTTTCATTGTTCTTTTCCATATTCATTTTGAAGTTCTACATCCTATTTCTATTTTACTAGAATTTTACTACATTTTTAGCTAACTTAATTCAACAAAATATTTTTGCATCATTAATAATTAAATAATACGTATAATCCCCCTTTCAACAAGTCTAACAAGATGAGGTGTTTGCAACCTTTTGTAGCCCCCTCCTTTTGATGGCTCCTTGAATTTAGTTCCAAGATTATAATTATTATTATAGGGCTTCTTTTATTTTGCACCGTATACCCTTTTTATCTTCTAATAGACTTTATGCTTTTTAGCAGTTTTAGGAACACAGTAAACTTGAGCAGAAAGCAGAGAAAGTTCCCATATACCCCCCCATCCCCACATATACACAGCTTTCTTCATCATCAACATCCTGCACCAAAATGGTACATTTGTTATCCTCAATGAACCTACGTTAATACATCATTATCATCCAAAGTCCATAGGTTACATTAGGGATCACTCTTGATGTTGTACATTCTATGACTTTTGACAAATATATCATGACATGTATCCACCCTTATAGCATCTTACAAAACAGTTTCGCTGCCCCCAAATCGTCTATGTTCCACCTATTTATCCTTCTTTTTCCCCAACCCCTGGCAACCGCTGATCTATTTACTATCTTCTATAGTTTTGCCTTTTCCTGAATGTCGTATAGATGGAATCACACAGTATGTATGTAGCCTTTTCAGATTGGCTTTTTCACTTAGTAATATACATTTGAGGTTCCACCATGCCTTTGTTGGCTTGATAGCACCTTTTCTTTTCATCACTGAATAATATCCCATCGTCTGGACATACCACGGTTTATCCATTCATCTATGGAAGAACATCCTGGTTGCTTGCAAATTTTGTCAATTATGAAGAAAGTTGCCAGAAACATCTGTGCATTGGTTTTTGTGTGGACATAAGCTTTCAATTCCTTTGGGTAAATACCAAGGAGCGTGAACGCTGGATCACATAGTAAGAGTATGTTTCATTTTGTAAGAAACTGCCAAACTGTCTTCCTAAGTGGTTGTGCCATTTTTGCATTCCTCCAGAATGAGTGAGAATTGCTGTTGTTCCAAATCTTCGCCAGCATTTGGTGTTAGTGTTTTGGATTCTGACCATTTCAATAGGTGCGTAATAGTATTTCATTTTTTGAATTTACAATTCCCTAATGACATATACTGCTTATTCTTTCAAATATTTTGAAAATGTGTTAAACCTCACAAACTATACTATCAACTACATTTAAATGTGTTAATGGTTTTATTGCTCACTATATAATGTAGCATTTATTTCCCTTTTAAAAGTTTATTCGTTTATTCCACAAACATCGACTGAGTGCCTGGTGCGTGCCCTGCGTGAAAATCTATAGTTACAAACTGACAAAACCTCTGTCTTCATGGAGCTTCCCTCCCCATAAAAGCTTTAAATTATTTTGTATTTGGCTAAAGTATACCCTTACATAATTTGTTTGTGGAATTTCTTTGTTTGGTTGGTTGTTGCTGTTGTTTTTCCCGAAATATTCTATTCTAGAAGGAAACATAGCTCATTCCCTGGACCCCTCTAGGTCTTCGCTCAAACATCACCTTCTCAGTGAGCACTACCACGGCCACATCACTTAAAATTGCATCCTCCTCCCCACAGTGCTCCCCGTTTCACCTCCTCCATAATATTTCTAACACACAACACATCATATTTCATGTAAGACATGAATGTTGACGCACACTATTACGTTTTATGTCAACAAAAGAGAAGGGCGGCTAACTGAGTCATGGCCTTGACATTAGGTCACACTGATGCGGGGCAGCTGAGCCCCATCATGGAGCTTAGCCCACAAGGCTTCTTGGCTTTGCCCAGGAAAGAATTCAAGGGCAAGCCAAAAGTAAAAGAAAACAGTCTTAGCGTTACAACTCTGTGACTGCCCCCGCAGAGCAGGGCTACCCAGTAGGCAGAGAGTAGCAGCTCAGGGCAGGGCAATTTTGCAGCCATATTTATACACACGTTTAGCTGCATGCAGATTAAGGAGTGGTTTATGCACGGGAGGGGTAGTAACTTTTGGATGGTTGGGTGCCGTGGAAAGAGGCAGTACCTCCCGAGTGTTGCCATGGCAACAGTAAATTGACCTGGTACACTGGTGGGTGGGTCTGATTGAATGCTGCTTTCATCCTGGCCCTGTTTCAGCTAGTCCTCAATCTGATCTGGTGTCCGAGCTCCACCTCTGGAGGTGAGTCCTGCCTCTTACCTCAACACCTCACCAATTTTTTTTTTTTTTACTAATTTGGAGATTTTAAGAGACTTCTCATGCCTTGAAAACCTTTGCATGTGATAGGCAGTCCTTTTGCAAACATAGCTCAGTAGTAAGACATGACAAAGCTTCACCCTCTTGCGGGTATCTTCTTTTCTTACAGTGTCAAAACATGACTGGTTGTTTATAAGGAAACACGGAATTGTGGTCACTCTCCCAAAGATGAATACTTGCTTTTGGGTTTCCATGCCTCTCCATGTACACAATAACCTTTTGTTTCAATTTCAGATCATCGTGGAATCTTTTTGAAGACATTTGAATGGCAAAATAAATCCTTTACGCATAGTACTGGCAAAGAGCCCAGCTGAGCTGAAGCAGGAACACTATGAGCAGCTTTTCTCAGGTTTGCAACTTCGGGGGAAATGGCAATTCCTTAAAGGCAGCTGCCCGGCCAGCAGCAATGATAAGATGCCAGCGATTATAGAATGCACCCCAGTTTCAAAGTTGCTAATGTGAAACATCATGCTTCTAAGAATCAACAAAATATAGTAATGTACTCACTTTGTCTATTATCTAGCTGCCTCTACTAGTTAGCAAGCTCTGTGATGATGACAGTAAACTTGGTGTATCTACTGATACCTCACCAGTGCCTATAACAGGACTTGGCCCATAGTACCGAGAACTGGAGAATGACCACAGTTCCATGTTTTCTTATAAACAACTAGTCAAGTTTTGACACTGTAAGAAAACAAGAGACCTCCAATCAAGTGAATGGACCCGCTTCTGGCTAAGGGAATCTCAGAAAAAGCTTAAAAACGAAGTTCCTGGCCATGACGGAAGAGGAGGTCAGACACATCTTGTCATACCCCTTCCCTTTTGTGGTTTAGCTACAACAACTGACCAGCATTCATGTTAAAATAGAAATCATCAGACTGATGGGATACGGATGCTTTGTGGCCATAAGATACCAAATTATGAACAGGACCTAAAGCCTTGCCAGGCAAGGGTTAAGCCACACACCCTACACTTTAAAAGAATAAACTATGTTCTAACGGCCACAAGGTTTCATTTTTCTCTAGCAGCTAAACAAACACTGGCCTTGACATAAGCAATATGAAAACAATTGCAGCCAGGTGCAGTGGCTCACACCTGTAATCCCAGCACTTTGGGAGGCAGAGGCGGGCAGATCGCCTGAGGTCAGGAGCTCGAGACCAGCCTGGTCAACATGGCAAAACCCCGTCTCTACTAAAAATACAAAAATTAGCCAGGCGTGGTGGCGGGCACCTGTAATCCCAGCTACCCAGGAGGCTGAGGCAGGAGAGTCGCTGGAACCCAGGAGGCAGAGGCTGCAGTGAGCCAAGATCGCGCCACTGCACTCCTGCCTGGGCAACAAGAGCGAGACTCCATCTAAAAAAAAAAAAATTTGCAGCTCGTGTACTTCCAGATGCTGATTAACTGACCCCCATCCCACCAGCCATCACTACAGCTTTGATTGGAGAAGAGACTGATTTCAGTAACTTTGTCCTGATCAGAGGCTGCTGACCGTAGACTGGTTGTGGCCAGTTTACAGAGGCTGTGCACTCAGTGCCAGAGGGAAGCTAGGGAGGAGGGAAGGAAGGAAGGAAAGAAGGGAGGGAGGGAGGGAGGGAGGGAAAGGTTTACTACCTATACACAGTAAGAAGTCCACTCACTGATGCAATTGGATCTTGGTGTCCCTGCTTCACCTTTTGATGTATAGGGTCTAACTTGAATACACTTAAATGTTAAGTCTCTGCCCCAAAGTGAACATGGAATACATGTAACGTGCATGTTTGCTTATCATGCATGTGCCCTCACTTTGTGATAATGCTTAGCTTTTCCTGTAATCTGTAGACCAACCCATTCAACATAAATTCCTGTTTCATTTCCTCCAAGTGCTTGCCTTGGGGTTGATAATATTATTTTTCAGTCTTATACGCTATTTCCACTGAATAGCATATTAGGCTGTGCTTCCCAGCCAGTCAAGATGACCACCTTGCAGGCTATAACCCTTTATAATAAATAAGATCTCCTTTCCAAATGTATAGATTGGGTGATTTTTAAGTTGACAGTATGCAATCGACTGTTTTTTAAGTGAATGCACAGATGAGACAGGATTTCACACCTGCCCTGTATAGCTGGAAAGCCAGGATCTCCCACTGCCTCTGTGGCACATGGCATTTCTTTCCAGATTGGAAGGCAATTGCATGTCATAGTCACTCTGCTTTGCTCCCTGACCCTTTGGCTGGCTGAAAGCCTCTTTTCCAGTAAAAGAGGGAACAGTGGCCTGACACATGTCATCCAAAAGATGATTGATGATTTTCTAGGCTGCTATGGGGTTTTTAGCAAATTCTTGTAGAATCAAGTGTGAAGGCCACAGAAGCTTCAGCCACAACACTCTTGTCTTTATAAATCAAAACAAGAGCAGAAGAAAGAATTAAAGGACAAAGGAAAAGGAAAGAGAAGGAGGGAAGGAAGGAAGGAAGGAAGGAGGGAAGGAGGGAGGGAGGGAGGGAAGGAAGGAAAAGGAAAGGAAAGGAAGAGGAAGGGAAGGAGGGAGGGAAGGAAAGGAAGGAAAGAAAGGAAAAGAAAGGAAAGGAAAGAAGAGTTACTACCTATACACAGTAAGAAGTACACTTGCTGATGCAATTGGATCTTGGTTTGATGGGTTCATGAGGAGGCAAAGATGTTAATTCCCGGGGCACTTGGATGTTTCAGAAGCCAAGGAAGTTCTCAAGCAACCCAGGAAGAGCTGCAACCCTCATCAGGAAAAATTATCCAGGCTCTCAACCTCCTGGGCTTCCGAGGCATATATCTGTGCCTGCCTGTCCCCAAATGGTATGCCTGGAGTGTGGGAAGACGGGCTTCAGAATTATTCAATTTAATAAACAGCTAAACAAAAAGGAAAAGGGAAAAAATATTTCTCACTGGCTGCACATTGCTTTAAATCCTTGTTCTTGTGGTTTATATTTTATGGAAATCTGTGTTTGGGAAAACACAAGGAGTGTCCTCCATGAACAGATACTGTTTTTCTTCTATACTCATGACACAAAAATTTGTTTCTACAGCCATCATGGGAGGTGCTCCTAGTACCTCCTTCAGATCTAATGCAGGTGTTTGAAGCCTAATGATGCAGGACATCTGTTTTAATTACCTTTACAGCTGTCCAAACTCACCTGTTATACAGTATGCACATTTCACTTTAATAATGATATGTATAATGTGCTATTTCACGTTAATTAGCACAACAGCTTTTCATTTCAATGCCAACAGAACCTTGAGCCTTTAAGGTCTTAATCTCAACTAACTCAATTCTAAGGTTATTTATGACTTTATTGCTTTGTGCTTTTGTTACTTTTTTCCACTCAAAATTCACAAATTAGCAAGCTAAAGAAAAAGTCTCTTCATTCAGGGATTCTGAAAGTGTGGTTGGGGCAAACCAATAATCAAAGCCTGGACACTTGCCCTCACATTTGTCTCATTCAACAGGATTCAGTGAGCCCCTGCTAGAGGCTATGGCTGAGCACCATGCCAGGCACTGGGGCTGCAAAATGCATGAGGCATGACCAGTGACTTGGGAGGGAGGAGGGACTTAAATGATAAAGTCTTTGATTTGAAAGAATTTAAATTTTTCTTACTCGATGTTTATCATTTTCCTCACGTGATGCTCTTTTCAAAGAACACATTCTTCCTATTAAAACAATAATAAAATCCTTTACAGGGAAAGCTGATTGGACTAGGACATGGCTGCATAGATTCTACCTCATCAAATGGTCCAAAGGCCTTTCTTCCAAATTTCTGGCAGGAGCATCCTAAAGTACCGTCTCCAAGAACAAAGGACATTCCAACTTACAGTGGGCACACTCCAATGTCTCCTAGCTCTCCAAAGCAGAAACATAGTTTAAACATTTAAATCAGATGTGAAAAGTGAGCTTAGGGCCAAAAGAAATTAGCACTGATAAAGTGAAAGTGAAAAGTAATTTGATATGCGTGGGTTATCCTCCACTTCACCCCCATTTGTTTAGCTTTTATGGGAATGGGGTTTTTCAAGGGAATTCCAAATGGGAATTTCCTATAAGGAGATATTTGTGATCTCTTAGCCTCATGCTAGGGGACCGGTACAAGAAGATGAAGATGAGGGTGTCTTGGGTTTACATTGACAAACATGGTAACTCCAGTAAATCTTCTACAGATTTATCACAACTGTTGCCAGTGATATTGATTTTTAAAACTCATAGGTAAAGAAAATCTTATCTAAATCCTTTTGCTGCAATATTCATGCACCTAGTTGTCTTACCCTTGTCTCTTGGAAAGTAAAATTGTATTTACTTCACTGTGTATTGGCATTCATTATACCCCATGGGGAACACTAGTTGATCACCAGGATGCCATTATAGAGTAGAGGGAAAGGCATCTCTCTGAGATGAAAGTAGAGATCCTTTCTTTCAAAACCATCCTCTTGTGAAAACCCCCTGGTTCGATTCTTTGAACTAGTCCCTGGCTTCCTTCTCTTTTCCAGATGTTTCAGTCTCCACTTCCTTGATGACCAACCTTTTACTTCCTACTTATAACATGAATCATAGGGTTTGCTAGTCACTGAATGACAAGTCAGAGAGATCCAAAGCATGAGAAGGATTAATGTGCTGTTGCTGGCCAAAGAGAGGCCTCTAGGATCAGGGAATGACCACACACACACACACACACACACACACACACACGCATGCGCGCACACACACACACACATGCACGCAACATACATAGAAACTGACAGAAAATCAATGAAATAGAGACCTCAGTCCTACACCCACAAGGAACTAAATCCTGCCAATGAGCTAAATGAGCTTGGAATGAATTCATCCACAAAGCTTCAGATAACAGCCCAGCCCAGCGCAGCCCAGCTAACATCTTGACTTAGGCCTTGTGAGAGCTTAAGCAGAGAAGCCAGTTAAGCCCATCTAGACTTCTGACCTATAGGATTGTGAGCTAAAAACTGAGTGATATTTTACATTGCTAAGTTTGCGGTGATTGTTACAGAGCAACAGAGATTAACACAATATTGGCCGGGCGCAGTGGCTCACACCTGTAATCCTAGAACTTTGGGAGGCCAAGGCAGGTGTATCACTTGAGGCCAGGAGTTCGAGACCAGCCTGGCCAACATGGTGAAATGCCATCTCTACTAAAAATACAAAAATTAGCCATACATGGTGGTGGGCTCCTGTAATCCCAGCTACTAGGGAGGCTGAGGCAGGAGAATCGCTTAAACCCAGGAGGCGGAGGTTGCAGTGAGCCGAGGTCACACCACTGCACTCCAGCTTGGGCAACAGAGCAAGATTCCATCTCAAAAAAAAAAAGAAAGAAAGAAAGAAAGAAATTAACACAGCATCCATACAAGTGAAATTCTTAGGTCATACTGTGT
The DNA here is from genome assembly GCF_000001405.40 of Homo sapiens. Lineage (NCBI taxonomy): Eukaryota > Metazoa > Chordata > Mammalia > Primates > Hominidae > Homo > Homo sapiens. The sequence continues at coordinate 14,492,852 of NC_000010.11, forward strand.
GCACATGCTCAACATTGTAAAGTAGCACCGACTGTTTTCCAAAGTATTACAGCAATATTTACTCCCACCCACAGGGTACAACGTGCTAGTTGTTCATATTCTTATCAACACATAATATTCTCAGTTGTTTAAAATTTTCAAATCTGGTGTATGTGTAATGGTATTACGCTATGGCTTTAATATGCATTTCTATGATTACTAATGAGACTGACCATTTATTTCTTAATATATTTTGTAGCCATTGAGTTTTCTTTCTTTTGTGCAATATTTGTTCACGTCTCTTAACCCAACTTTTATTGGGTTCTTTTCTCTTATGCATTGATAAGATTTCTTTAAATATTCTACCTATGTGTCCTTTATCAATTATTATTTCACAAATATCATCTTACACTTTTTGTCTAGTGAAATATTTTGCTATTTCAAAGTCATGAAAATATTATTTTATAAATGCATTATACTTTTGCTTTCATATTTAGGTTATTTAATCCACCTGGAATTGAATTTTGAAGATGGGTTGTGGTAGGATCCAATTATATTTTTTTCCAGCTGGCTAACCGATTGTTTTTGCAGCATTTATTCAAATATCAGTTCTTTTCCCTTTCATTTGCAGTATCAATTGTGTTGTATGTCCAGTGACAATATCTGTGTAGATCTGGTTTTTGCACCGCATTCTGTTCCATTGTTCTATTTTTTTTAATTTCTACCTCCATACTACACAATCTTAATTATTGTATTTTTATACCATATCTTGATATCTTATAGGCCTAGCCTTCCTAGGCTGGTTTCTTTTCTTTGGCTGTACTTGGTCCTTTATGTTTCTGTATAAGTTTAAAATTTGCTTATAAAGTTACAAACACACACATACACACACACACACACACACACACACACACACACCCTTTTGGGATTGCTTTGAGTGTATAAATCAATTTGGAGAGAATATGTTCTAATCCATAAACATAGTATGTTTCTCCACTTATTTAGGACTTCTTTCATATTGGTCAATAAAGATTTTTAAAAGGCTTATAATTTTTAGAACCTTTGTGCTATTCTTTTACATATAAAGTAAATTAAAACATTTTATAATGCACAGAAAGGCAACAACAGAATGGAGAAACTTTCGAGGACTTATGAAACCTTTTCCTTATCTTTTTTATAAGGAAACTGTATATATCTATTGCTGTTTACTCCTTTAAAAATATTTTTAAAATTATTTTTATTTTATATATTTGAGGTGTACAACATGATATTTTGATATACATATTCATAGTGAAAGGACTATTTACAGGCAAGAAAATTATCCTATTCATCACATTCCATTGTTACTCTGCGTGTGAGAGAGAAAGAGTACCTAAAATCTCTCTTGGCAAATGTTCAGTATACAATACAGTGTTATTAACTACATCCTCATTCTTCACGTTAGTTCTCTAGACATTTTCATTCTACCAAACTGCAAATTTGTAGCCTTGGACCTACTTCTCGCCAATTTCTTTTCCTCTTTACCCCTAATAACTACTATTAGACTCTCTGTTTCTATTTATTTGACTTTTTAAATGCTTTTTAGTGCTATTCTGGTATCTTTTTTAAATTAATAAACTTTATTTTTTAGAGTGGTTTTAGGTTCACAGAAAAAAAAAAAAAGGCAACTCTTTCATTTCATTTTCCAAATGTTTGTTGCCAGTATATAAAAAGACAATAGATTTTCTTATATTGGTATTATACCCATAATCCTGATAAACTTTTTATTAAATCTAATAAGTTTTATACAAATTTGTTTCTATTTCCTATATATACATCATGACATCTACAAATAATAACAATTTTGTTTCTTTACAATCCTTATACTTTTATTTTTCTTGCCTTACTGTACTTTCTAAGACCTCCATTATAATGATTATTAGAGATCTCAGCCAGGCACGGTGACTCAGGCCTGTCATCCCAGCAGTTTGGGAGGCCAAGGTGAGAGGACTGCTTGAGCCCAGGAGTTCAAGACAAGTCTAGGCAACATGGGGAAATCCCATCTCCACAAAAAAGACAAAAGTAGCCAGGTGTGGTGGTGCACGCCCGGTTGTCAGCTACTCTGGAGGCTGAGGTGGGAGGATTGCTTGAGCCCAGAGATTGCAATGAGCCAAGATCACATCACCACACTCCAGCCTGGGCAACAGAGTGAGACCCACTCTCAAAAAAAAAAAAAAAAAAGAAAGAAAGAAAGAAAAAGAAAAGAAAAAAGATTGTTAGGACCCTTCCATCATTATTCATCTAAAAAGAAATATTTTCACCTTTTCACCATTAAGAATGACAACTGTGGCAGAATTTATGATTTGTTTTGTTTTGTTTATTTTTTAGGTATAAGTTATGTTAAGTGAATTAGTTTGAGAAGGATTTTATTAAAAATCACATGTGATATTGAATTTTATTAAATATTTGTCTATATCTATTGAAATAATCATATAATTTTTCTCCCTTAATCAAATACTTTAGAAAATTACGTTAACTGATGCTCAAAGTCACGCTAGCCTTGCATTCCTGGAATACACAGACTTCATTATGATCATCCCTTTGAGATGTTGCTGGATTTGGTTTGGCAATATATTGCCTAGAATTCTTGCATTCATGATCCTAAGTGTGGTCAGCCAGTAATTTTCCTGTCTTCTACTATCCTTGGTAGGTTTTGGCATCAAGATTTTGGAAGCCTCAAATTGAGGTGAGGAGTGTTTCCTCTCCTGCTGTACTCAAGAATAGTTTGTGAAAAATTGGAATTATTTTTTCTGGACTTTCTGGTAGAACCTGCCTTTGAAACTACCTTTGCCTAGACTTTTAAGATTGTTTTTGACTACTGTTTGATCTCTTTGAAGCATATATTATGTTTTTAAATTTTGGGTTTGTAATGTTATATTTACTCCCTGACTACAAATTATCTCATATAAAAAAAATTTTCATTAGCAGCTAAAAGAACACCACAGGAGGGCCTTAAGCTTCAAGCTTTTGAATGTAGAATTTTTGTTCAGGAGAATCACAGGAGCGATGAGCTAGCTCTGTCCAGAATTGAAAGCAGGTGATGACCAAAAAAAGAAAGAAGCCAGAGAACAAGGAAGATAGTTTCCAATGTTATTGATTGTATAAATCTCAGTTCATCATCCCAAAGAAAAAAAGATTTCATGCTCCACCTACCTAACTCATCTACCAAAAAGAGAGAATCGCCCATCACTAGGCTCTTCTTTTTAACTTACTTCTGGGCAACGCAACCCCTTTTTTCTTCTCTGCATTTATTTGATTTTAAATTGCATGAGCAATTTACATTAATATTTCTCTGTAGCATTCACAGTTTTCTGCTGGATTGGTCCAGGTCCAATTTATAAGCATGGAAACTGATTTCCAAAATCAATTAAGTGGCTCCAAGGAATGAGACTGCAGAGCCAAGATGCGAATCTGAGAATCCTAGGATTGGAAGGGACCTCAGAAATCATTTGGTGGCTTTTGTTGTACCATTGAGAAGGTCAATAGGGAACAGCCAGTGAGGGACAGAGCCCCAGCCAGAATCAAGGGTTTGACTGCTAGGTCAGCTTCCATTACCCGGAGAGATTTGCCCCCAATAGGAGTCACTTCACTGTTGCTTTTTAAAGATCTTTAAGGAGGGAAATGCTTGCTTTTGTGCAAAGTGTGCATAGTGATAGTTTACAGTTTCAAATCTCTAAGTCAATAACAGGAACATTTCCCCATATAGTGACCCTTGGTTGAAAAGGCAAGTTCAACCACTGTGGAAGACACTATGACGAGTCCTCAAAGATTTAGAACCAGAAATCTCATTTGACCCAGCAGTCCCATTACTGGGTATATACCCAAAGGAATATAAATCATTCTATTATAAAGACACATGCACACGTATGTTCATTGCAGCACTATTCACAGTAGCAAAGACATGAAATCAACCCAAATTCCCATCCATGATAGACTGGATAAAGAAAATGCAGTACATATACACCATGGAATACTATGCAGCCATAGAAAGGAATGAGATCATGTCTTTTGCAGGGACATGGATGAAGCTGGAAGCCATTATCCTCAGCAAACTAACGCAGGAACAGAAAACCAAACACCGCTTGTTCTCACTTTTAAGTGGGCACTGAACAATGAGAACACATGGACAGTGAGAGGAACAACACACACTGGGGCCTGTCGGGGGAGGCTGGGGAGGGGAGAGCATTCAGAAAAATAGCTAATGCATGCTGGGCTTAATACCTAGGTGATGGATTGATAGGTGCAGCAAACCATCGTGGCATGTGTTTACCTATGTAGCTACACATCCTCCACATGTATCCCAGAATTTAAAATTAAATTGAATTTAAAATTAAATTATATTAAAAAGAAAAGGCAGAAGCAATTATTAGTTAGCAGAGAAAGTGGCCTAAAATCACAAAGAAGAAAACGCTTGTGCATAAATGAATACTTCATACTCTAAATCTGTTTACATTTTATGAAGAACTTTTCAAAGGATCTGCTGGCTCATGTTTCTCTGATGTTTTATAGTTTACAGAGCAGTTTCTCCTGTGCTGTTTCATTTACTACAATTCAGCAAACCTTTATTTAGTTGAGACGGCTGCAGCTGTTTACCAAGGCCCTTGCCATGTGTGCAGGGAGACAAACATGTATACAACCTCTATCGTGCCTGACAGGCATGACACTTTCGAATGAGGCTTCCAGCACTGGCAGTGGGAAAGCAGTTGCACCACGTGGGTGTCAGGAGCAGTCTCACGGGCAGGATGCTTGAGTCAGCTCATCTGCAATTGGTGAGATTTCACCAGGAGGCCATGAAAAGGCCGACCCACCAGATGCGAAGGGAGGGAAGGTGCTGCATTGCCCGGGAGGAAGCAGCATGGCAGTGTGGCCGAGTGGGTAAAGGCGCGGGCTCCATAGTCAGAGACCTGGGTTTCAGTTCCAGGCTGCTATTTTTTTTTTTTTTTTTTTTTTTGAGACGGAGTCTCGCTCTGTCGCCCAGGCTGGAGTGCAGTGGCGCGATCCCGGCTCACTGCAAGCTCCAAATTCCGGGCTGCTATGTACTAGTTGTGTGACCTTAGACATATTCCTTTACTTCTCTCTGCCTCAGTTTCCCTGTAGATAAATGGGGGAGGGGTAATAACACAACATCACTCTTAAGATGAATATGCAAATTGATCTATAAAGCACTGAGCAAAATACTTGGCACATGGTAAATGTTACCTGTTGTTGTATCAGAAAACCATAAGTAGCTTGAGGAAGCTGGCTGGCGTGATTGGTACCGTAGCTTCCATGACAGAGCAATTGAACCTTATGGTATTGACAAGGAAGAAAGTTTCTCTGCAAGTTGGTAAGAGGCTCAGATTTGTGTTTTAGGAAAGAACTGGCCTATTATGAAAGGAGAGCGATTGGAAGCAAGGAATGGAGGAGGTGGGACTTCTATTAGTCACTGTGAGAAATGGCTTCATGCTTTGTCCATTGTGTGTGTGTGTTCATGCAAGTGCACGGGTGTGTGTGAGTGTGTGATTTCTATTTTCCCCATAGAATGTCATCTCCCCCATGGCAGGAGCCCTGGCTTCCTTACACTCCCAGGGCTCCTGCGCCTGGTACCCATGTGCTGGATGAATGAATGTGTGAAACTGCAATTCTCGCAATACTTGACCGTGGGCAGGAGCGGGACGGCGAGTAGGTTTTACAGATGAGGAAAACCACACCAGGAGTCTCCATGACTTCCTCACTGCCCTCACAGTAAGAGGCAGCACTGGGCCTAGAAAAGGGGACTTTTTACTCTTTGTGCCTGAACCTATCATATCAAACTGAGAGGTGTAATCATAATGCTTACTGCTCATGATTTGAACTAGTTCACCTCAGACCAAGAACAGAATATTAGAACTCAATAAATTAATAAACAAATTATAATTATTGTTTTTATAGCGATGGAATGGAGTCTCACTATGTTGCCCAGACTGGTCTCAAATTCCTGGGCTCAAGCCATCCTCCCACCTCAGCCTCCCAAAGTGCTTGAATTATAGGTGTGAGCCAACACGCTTAGCTAACTTTTTAAATTTTTTGTAGAGATGGGAAGGGAGTGGGGGGGGTCTTGCTATGTTCTCCAGGCTGGTCTCGAACTTCTGGCCTCAAGCAACCCTCCCGCCTTAGCCTCCCAAAGTGCTGGGATTACAGGCATGAGCCACTGTGCCCAGCCTATGAATTGCGATTCTAATTTTAAAAACTAAGACGTTCTGCTGGTGCACACTAGATGGCAGCAACGCGCATCATTTTAAGGACGGTGAAAGTAGCGGCCGCATCCCTTGGTAGGGTCTGTATAGCCCTGGCCCTCGGCTAGGGCTGGGTTTTATTATTTCATGTAAGCTTCCCAACCTCTCAGTATTGCAGATACTTAGCAGAAAGGATTAAGTCCCGAGTTGCCGAAGCCTAACGTCACCAACCTTGCTATTGCCAAGAGCAGGCATGGAAAGGTTTTCCTTCCTCTCTGGAGGCCAGCAATTGACTATCTTGCCCAGTCATAAAAGAAGACACTTAGGAGAAGCCTTGATTCCTAGAAACGGCTGAATTAGGCGTTCTTGCTGCAGGGACAAAGGCTTCCTCCGGGCCTTAGAACGGGCCGAGAAAACCTACCATCTGCCTTCCTCGCCGGGAAGGCACCTTGACTTTGGCTGGGCTGGGCCAGCCCTGGACACACTGATGACAAGCGACGCCTGCCAGTGCCCAGCTCCCTCTTTCCAGGCCCTGTCATTTAATGGCAAATATTTATTGAGGGCCTACTATGCGCCAGGCCTTATGTCCCAGCCTCCAACCCCACATGCTTCACCCCCACACTGTCTGTCACTGACCATCCTCCTGTCCCAGGCTCCTCATGGCTCCTGACTGGCTTCCCCACCGCCTGGTCCCACTTCTCCGTTGCCAAGCCAAAAGGGGTTGTCCCAGCTGTACCCAATGCTTGAGGATGTATTAAGGTATCTCTGCCAGGTAGAAAAGGGTAAATGCGTTGTCTTTCCCCAGACAACAGCATGTTGAAATTTTACCGCTACACAGTGGTTGGGACTTTAAAGGTTAATGCAGGGCTGGGCGCAGTGGCTTATGCCTGTAATCCCAGCACTTTGGGAGGCCCAGGGGGGTGGATCACCTGAGGTCAGAAGTTTGAGACCAGCCTGGCCAATAAGGTGAAACCCCGTATCTACTAAAAATACAAAAATTAGCCAGGCATGGTGGCATGGTGGCACATGCCTGTAATCCCAGCTACTTGGGAGGCTGAGGCAGGAGAATCGCTTGAACCTGGGAGGCAGAGGTTGCAGTGAGCTGAGATCGTGCCATTGCACTCCAGCCTGGGCAACAAGAGTGAAACTCCGTCTCAAAAAAAAAAAAAGGTTAACACGGTAGGATTTTAGAAGAGGCATTTGAGGGCAGCTGGACGTTATGGCTTCAAATCATACCACGTGGTGAGGGGTTGTATCTAGGATGGCCCTGGCCCTGCACGTTGGGTGTGTGAGCAACACTGCAGCCACTCTGCCCCACCCCAGAGCCTGTGACTGAGCCTGGACTTCCTGAACTTCATAAATAAGTGTAGATAACAAATATAAACAAAAGAACAGCAATCATCATCATCACTAATGTTTACTAAGCACTTTACATGAATCTCCTCTAACACTTTTTTTTTTCAACAGGACATCTCCCTCTGACACCCAGGCTGGAGTGCAGTGGTGCAATCGTGGCTCACTGCAGCCTCAACTTCCTGGACTCAAGCAATCCTCCCACCTCATCCTCTCAAGTGGCTGGGACTACAGGCCGGTGCCACCACATCTGGCTAAATTTTTTTTATTTTTTGTAGAGACAGGGTCTCACTATGTTGCCCAGGCTGGTCTGGAACTCCTGGCCTCAAGTGATCCTCTCATCTCGGCCTCCCAAAGTGCTGAGATTGCAGGCATAAGCCACTATACCTACCCTACTCCTTTAACTCTTACAACGGCTCAATGAGGCAAACAAAATCATTATGCCCATTTTATTTTACTTTTTATTTTTTGAGATGGAGTCTTGCCCTGTTGTCCAGGCTGGAGTTAAATGGTGCAATCTCGGCTCACTACAACCTCTGCCCCCTGGGTTCAAGTGATTCTTGTGTCTCAGCCTCCTGAATAGCTGGGATTACAGGCGCGTAACATTATGCCTGGCTACTTGTTGTATTTTTAGTAGAGACGGGGTTTCGCCCTGTTGGCCAGGCTGGCTTCGAACTCCTGACCTCAAGTGATCCACCTGCCTCGGCCTCCCAAAGTACTGGGATTACAGATGTGAGCAACCATGCCTGGTCAGTTACGCCCATTTTACAGATGAGAAAACTGGGGCCAAAGCATTTATTTTCCCAGAATCACAAAGCTAGAAAGCGATGGGACTATGATTCAAATCCAAGTTCTCTGATTCCAGAGCCTGTGCTCCTTATTCTATTGCCCACTCAATTTTTCCCCCAAAATCCAAGCCAACATCCAATGTGAATTCCATCTGACCTTGGTTATGGAAAGCAGCCCCCTCCCCGACACCCCCCCCACCCCTGCTCCCACACACACAGCCATTCTATTGAAGGAGACTAGCCCCAGATGCCCCCTGGCTTCTTGCTGTCAGTAGTGAGAATTAGTCCAACAGTTGGAGAAAAGAAGCCACCGATAACTGAGAGTTGGCTATTGCCTTCGTTCTCTGCATTTTGCTCTTGTAAAAAGCAATGTGTGTGTGTGGAGCCTCTAAGTATGTCCATATGGTGACATAGACAAGACCGCGGTACTTGCTTGTGACAACTGGATCTGACCTTCCCTGGAACTCTTAGGAAAATGTAAATTGCTCTTTCGTGGCCCCAACAGCACATTTTGTACCCACTTTGGTCAAGGTCACTATACAAGGAGGATCCTGGCATGCTGGGAACACTTGCTTACCTTGGGGCCTCCCAAGAATCAGCCCATGGATGGAGACTCTGCCCTACTCACTTTTTATTCTCATGCCGACTAGCACAAGGCAGGTACTCGATGTGTGTCAGTTGACACAAAATAAAGTGAGCATGTCCTAGGGAGGTGAGACAATGGGAAAAGGTGGGTCTCCTCTTGACTCTCATCACCCTTGCTGCCTGGGGTTCCTGTTCCTCCACCTCACTTCCCTGGGGCCTCCCAGTCTGTCTTGCCTCATTGTTCTGTCCCAGGGAGAGAGGGGTGACAATGTCCTAGAGCCAAAGCCATCCCGTGCAAAATCAGGTAGGAGGAAAGTACATACAGTGCTACCCAAAGGGCCAGCCCAGCCTGGAGGAATATGATGCTTTGGGGAGGTACCTGGGGATCCTGTATAGGCAACATAAGCCATGATGGAAAATAAAGTAATACAAGCAGTAACCTCCAAGACAGAAAATTGATTCATTAGTGCCTCTAGTTTGCATGACTATGGAAAAGAACCCTCCCGGCTGAATAACCAGTTATGATCAGCAGTTAAGACCTCTCTTTTGTTTTGTTTGTAAGAAGACCTCTCTTTTGTTTTGTTTTGTTTGTAAGAAGAAGAGAAGAAAGAGAGGAGGGAAGAGAGGGAGGGCAAGTCAATGAGTTGTGCTGAGGATGAGAGGAGAGATTTATCTTTAAGACTAATAGCTTGTCAATGAGAGCTAGCCTGCCTTTGAGCAGCAGCAATAGCCTGCCTTTGAGATCAGCCAAGTCCCTATTATATATTAAATTCCCTTGCCTGAAAAATAAATTGTGGAAGAAAAAGGGAAATTATGTACATTCCATTTTATGGGAATCAGACTTGTCCGTGATCTTCCCGTCTGTCTAGTGGTTTCCACTTGGCTGGATTTATTGGCATGACTTGCCTTGTGGGTTCACTCTCACTGGGCTCCTGCCTCTTTAGGGGGCTAAAAGTCTTTGTGGGCCCTGCAACAATATGAAAGAGGTCTCTTCCATGCAGACCCATCACCGTGTCCACAGAGAGAACCCATGGGCAGTGTTCTGAGATTGCAGGGTGGCATCTTCCAGCACATAGGTAAGTAACAAGCTTTGTGGTAAATTTGCAATGCAAAATAACCACTTACCAGCTGCCAGAGTAGATACGTTTTACTTTTAAGTAAAATATTAAGTAAATACAGATATTTACTTAAATATCTGTAGTGCCTAACTGGAGTTGCTTTGAATTTCTTGAAAGGATTCAAGCCTTGATTTATTTATTTTTATTTTTTGGCTGTGGAAAGACAACGGTCTCCAAGTCCCTTTCAGAAGGAAATCAATACCCCAGAGTTAATACTCCCTTTCTTTGAGGGAATGATATATCTAAACAAGAGAAAAAATATATTTTTCAGCAAATCTTGACCACAAAATTCATCTGCTCAAGGCTTTAGGTCAATTCATTCATCATGGGCAATTTATGAACCAATGAAGTCAGCCAGCTGGGGGGCAAATCAGGATGGAATAAAGTTATGCATTATTTTTGTATTTGTTCAAAGTAAAAATAACTTTTGGAGGGCCTATGGTGTTAAAATATCAGGTTCAACGTAGAAGTTTCCTCTCTGCTCTTATTTTCCACCATTCAAGACTGCAAACAATATGCTTTGAAAGAAAGAATGACTTTTGGAAAAATTGACTTTCGGAAAAATTGACTTTTACAAGGCATACAGTCTAGCGAAAAGCAGAGTGGAATATAGATAAGTTCAAGTTATCTCCCTGCATGTTTTATGGGAGATAGATTATTGATTGTGTCTTATATTTTTGTTCAAGCCCCTTGTCAATCAAGTGCCCTATAGATTATCCTTTGAGAGAACACAATACTATTGATTCTCCTAGACCAAGCTTCAAACATTGGAATTTTGATAGAGATGGCATTGAATCTGTAGGTTGCTTTGGATAGTATGGCCATTTTAACAATATTAATTCTTCTAATCCATGAACAGGATATCTTTCCATTTATTTTCAATTTCTTTCTTTTTCAATTTCTTTCATCATTGTTTTATAAATTTCAGTGTACAAATCTTTCACCTCCTTGGTTAAATTTATTCCTAAGTATCTTCTCTTTTTTTGCAGCTATTGTAAATGGGATTATTCCCTTGATTTCTTTTTCAGATAGTTCACTGTTAGTGTATAGAAATGCTACTGTTGTGTGTTGATTTTGTATCACGCAGCTTTACCGAGTTTGTTTATTAGCTGTAACAGTTTTTTGGTAAAATCTGTAAGATTTTCTATATATAAGATCATTTTCTCACCAATGGTTATCTTACTTTTTATTTCTTCCCTTTGTCTAATAACTCTGGCAAAGACTTCCAATAATATGTTGCATATGGCAAGAAGTGGGCATCTTTGTCTTATTGCAGATCTTAGAGAAAAGGCTTTCAGTTTTTTACTGTTGCACAAAATGTTAGGTGTGAGCTTCTCATATATGGCCTTTATAATATTGAGGTACATTCCTTCTGCACCTAGTTTGGTAAGAGTTTTTCTTTCTTTCTTTCTTTTTCAAATTATTACTTCTTGCAAACAAGGCTACTCCATAGGCAACGTGCACAGAGTAGCTGGTACGCATCTTTTTTAATCATGAAAGAATGTTGAATTTTGTCAAATGCTTTTTTGTCATCCATTGAAATGGTCATATAATTTTTGTCTTTCCTTCTGTTAATTTGATGTATCACATTTATTGGTTTGTGTATGTTGAACCCCTTCTGCATGCCAAGGATAAATCCTACTTGATTATAGTGGACGATCCTTTTAATGTGGTGTTTAATTCCATTTGCTAACATTTTGTTGAGGATTTTTGCATCTATGTTAATCAAGAATAGTGGCCTGTAATTTTCTTTTCTTGTAATGTCTTTTTTTGGCTTTGATATCAAGGTAATACTGGCCTTGTAAAAAGATTTAAGAAGTGTTTCCTCCTCTTCAACTATCAGAAAGAGTTTAAGAATCAGTAATAGTTCTTTTTTAAATGTCCGATAAAATTCAGCAGTGAATCCATCAGGCCTTGAGTTTTTACTTTTTTTAAGAGATAGGGTCTCACTCTGTCACCCTGGCTGGAGTACAGTGGCACGATCATAGTTCACTGCAGCCTCAAACTCCTGAGCTCAAGTGTTTTTACTATCTCAGCCTCCCAAGTAACCAGGACAGCCACCAATTACCCTTAATGGGAAGGGGTCTCATTATGTTCCACAGGCTGGTGTTGAACTGGCCTCAGCCTCCCAAAGTGCTGGGATTACAGGTGTGAGCCACCATGCCCGACCCTGTGCTTTTCTTTGATGAGAGAGTTGTTTTTTTGTTTTTTGTTTTTTTCTTACTGATTCAAAGTCCTTACTCATTACTGGTCTCTTCAGACTGTCTACTTTTCTATGATTCAATCTTGATAGGTTAGATGTCTCTAGGAATTTATCCACTTCTTCTAGGTTATCCAATTAAAATTCCACTCTTTTTAATCTATCTTCTTTTTGGCTAAGAATAATTTTTAATCTATCTTCTTTTTGACTAAGAATAATTATTTTAGACCTCTTGATTTTTATCACTAGCTCTTTTCCTGGCTCACTTCAGTAGAATCACATATGAGAACAGGTAAAAAGCAACAGTCAGCTTGAGAGGCAGCTGCTGCCCAACATTCTATTGAAAAGAACACAAAGGTTCATTCTGTATACAGTAAATTTGTGCTCAAGCTCTTAATGTCTTTAAGACATTATCATGGTGGCGGCATAGAGGACAATAGTAGAATACAGTGATTAAAAGCATAAACTTTGATATTAGTCAAACTGGATTTGAGTCCTGGTTCTGCCATATATTGACCATGTGAACTCTGGGAAGTTCACTTATTGATTCAACAAATATGTGTTGAGTGCCTACTGTATGCCAAGCCCTAAATGGAGAATACTGCAGTGAACAAGGCAGATATTATACCCAACTTCGTAGCTCATATACATAAGAGAGACATTAAGTAATTACACAAGGATTAATTTACCTAATGTTGCAAAGAAGAAGTAAAACTGTGTTATGAGATTGATTTGACCTGCTCTGCACAGTTCAGAAAGCTTCCCTAAGGAAGTTGGGATCTAAGGGTCCAACATGAGTTAACTAAGCACAAAGGGGAGAATGAGAACTTTGAGGAAAGGCAGTTGGTAGGTGGGAAAGCCCTGGAGCAGAGAGGAGGCTGGTAAGTCTGGAACAAGGAGAACAAAGGCAGAGGTACAAGAGGAGTTGGCGATGCAAGCAGGGGCCAGAGCATGATGGGCCTGGAGGCCATGTTAAGGATTTTGGTCTTTGCCCTAAAATCAATGGGAAGTCTTCAAGCAAGGGAGGAACACAGTCAGATTTGCCTTTGCTAAAGATCATTTGGACTTCTTTGGAGAGCACAAAGCAGACTGAGGCAAAAGTGACAGGAGGACCCACCAGGAAGCTGCTGTTCTAAAATGGGTAGTGGGATTGCAGAGGAGTGGAGAAATTCACTGGATATTTACAAGGTAGAGTGGAAAGAACTCCATTGGATATGGAGGGTGAGGCTGGGTCAAAGATGACTCCCAAATTTCCAAATTACAGGACTGGATGGAAAGTGGTGCCATTTACGAAGACTGGGACTGTGGATGAGGGCGAAATTTTGGAGGAGAAGGCCTTCAGTTCAGTTACAGTAGTCTACCTTAATATGCGATTTCACTTTACATGGCTTGACTGTTACCCACAGTCAACCACGGTTCGAAAATATTCAATGGAAAATTCCAGAAATAAACAATTCATAAGTTTTTAATCACAGGGCATTCAGAATAGTGTGATGAAATCTCACCCCATCCCACCCAGGATGGGAATCTTCCCTTTGTCCAGGATATCCACGAGGTCTACACTACTGGTCCATTAGTCACTCAGTAGCCATCTTGGTTATCAGATGGAAGAAACATAATATATAAAGGGTTTGGTACTATCCATGGTTTCAGGCACCCAATGAGAGTCTTGGAATTTACCCCCAAGGAGAAGCAGGGACCACTGTACTTAACTTTGGTGACCTTCAGTTCCCTCTCCTCTATAGTAGAGATGACAACAGGGTTCCCCCCATAGGAATATGGTGAGAATTCCATTAGATCCCAAATGTTAAGCACTGAGCATGGTGCCTGGCACATGGAGAGCAGCAATGGCTGGAGACTAATGTTCTGCTCATCAGCCATTAGGTGCAGAGGCACCTGTTTTCACAGCTCCCTGCCCTTCTCTTTGTACCACTCACTACAGTTGTCATTTTACATGCATTTCTGTGATTCTTTGAATAATATTTGTCTCCTCACTCCATTTTAAGCTCCAAAAAGGCAGAGGCTGATATGATTTTGCTCAGCATTGTATTCCCAATGCTGGGCATTGTGATGAAAATGGATAAACACACAGCCTGAGCAGGAAACACACACTTCCCCAGAGCCCCATTCATTCCTGCAACCAGGTACCCGCAGCAGGTGCATGGGGACAGCCAGCCATTTCGTTGTTATTGACTACGCCACAGCAAACCACACAGGTCTTCAGATTTCAATGCTAGGACGCAAATCAAAACTCACCCATAGCCTAACCTCAAGCACCTCAGGAAGTTCTTTGGATATAAACGACAGGTGTTTCCTAGCAACACTGCAAGCAGTTGTGCATCGGGGAGGCAGCAGGCTTATTTGCTGTTCCCACTTCCTGCTCTCCCTCTCCCCAGTGTCCTATTACTGCTACTCACAAAAAACCTGGCTTTTCAAACTGTTCAGTCATATTTTTTTGAAGAACAGTCTGGGAAGCACAGAGGAAGATCAAGAAGAAATAAAATTTACATTTAATTTAAAACATCATTTGAACCATTAATTTCCACGGCTTCCCTCGGAGAACATTAATACGAACATCTATCTAACAATAAAACCATTTGATTTAGTGTGTGTATTTTCTTTTCTTAATTTGCTCCTATAGTTCTTATCTTCGAAGTATTCATGTGGCATTTTATTTCATGTCTTATTATTTATTACATCTTATGCAATGTCTCATCTCTGAACAAGATTATAAACACCTCCAGTGCTGGAACTAGCTCCTAGCGAGATATCTTGTCAACATATTCAGTAAGCACGTGTGCCTAATTGATCTGACCGCTTATCTCTGAGAAACACTGAAATCACTGAGGAAGGAAAAGGGAATGGAAAGAAAGAGAGCAAACTCCAGCAAGTTCCCCTAGAGAGCAAAGCACCAACTCACTGAATTAAAGCCACATTGCAGCAGCTAGAATATTCCCTTCATGCATGTGACTTTGCACAGTGAATTTTTCTTCGTTGAGCTTATAGGCTGGCTATCAGCTCTAATGGAGGATCCTCCAAACCCTGATTCTGGTTCACAGCCTGTTGTGTAAGGTATTTCCCTCCTGGGTGGCATTTTTTTTTTTCTTTTTTGAGACAGAGTCCTGCTCTGTCACCAAGGCTGGAGTGCAGTAGCGCAATCTCAGCTCACTGCAATCTCTGCCGCCCAGGTTCAAGCGATTCTCCTGCCTCAGCCTCCAGAAGTAGCTGGGATTACAGGCACGCACCATCACACCCTGCTAATTTTTGTATTTTTAGCAGAGATGGGGTTTCCCCATGTTGGCCAGGCTGGTCTTGAACTCCTGACCTCAAGTGTTCTGCCCGCCTCAGCCTCCCAAAGTGCTGGGATTACAGGCGTTGAGTCACTGTGCCCAGCCTCACAGTAAATGTTTTTAATCATGCTACTTTCACTGTTTGTTGGCACCTGGCTAACACAGGTGCCATTATTTCCTGGAACCTCTTAAATGAGTAAATAACCACGGACAACCAACCAAGGAGGTCCCCATGAGATTGCACCTCAAGCTTCAACCATGAAGTCACAGCAGGGAAGGCTGCAGCCTCTACTCTCTGCTGCTAATTCTACCCTTAGCCAGCCTCTGTGACGGCTTCTATTAGGCCTCATAAATTAAATCCAAAGAGTCAGCATTTCTCCAGGGCTTGGCTAGCTCCTTTCCTAAGCGTCTATCTCAAGTATTCAACCAGAAGGAGCGGAAAGAGTAATAAATCGACTCTTAGTAATACGATGAAGGCCCCACCTGGTATCAAGGGAGAAGGGAAAGAGAATTCCATCGTCATCCAAGAAAGAACATCTGCCAAGAAGACCTTGACTGGCCAAGCTGGAGCTCTCCCAGGGCCCTGCGCGCACCGAGTAGCAGTATTTCATTACAGAGCTCCCGATTCCTCACTTCCAAGTCGCTTAGACCCCGGCCAATGAAAACAATAGGAGGAAAACCAGAGGGCTGTAACCGCAGTCACTGGAGTCCCAGGAGCAGCGGAAAACTCTAAAGGGCAATGCTGTTTTCATGGCGAAACCTACACCCCTCGGGTCACTTACGAGGAGCCCCAGCTCAGGTCTTTGTTCCACCCTTACGGGGTTGGCAAAAGCTCGAAACATTTCTCAGTGCCGCTCTGGAGTCAGAGCTTCTATTTTTTCGCTAGATCTTTTTTCCCTTCGATGATTTCAACTATAGGTCTGCATGTTTGGGGAACATTGAAACCGCTCTTGTATTCTTTCATGGGGTGTTCACTGTACACGTCAATAATTATGAAATTAACAGTGTTTAGAATTTAAGGGATAGTTTTGTATTAAGCAGACTTAGTTTCTAAGCTTTGCTTTTATGCCGTTTTAAACACTCGTGATTCAGGGACTCATTCTGATTGTATACAATTTTAAATACATACTGATATTGGTCAGGCGCGGTGGCTTACACCTGTAATCCCAGCACTTTGGGAGGCTGAGGAGGGTGAATTGCTTGAGCCCAGGAGTTTGAGACCAGCCTGGGCAAGATAGTCAGAGACCGTCTCCACAAAAAATAGAAAAATTAGCCAGGTGTGGTGGCGAGTGCCTGTAGTGCCAGCTACACGGGAAGCTGAGGTAGGAGAATCACCTGAGCCTGGGAGGTTGAGGCTGCAGCGGGCTGTGATCAACTCATTGCCTGGGCGACAGTGAGACCCTGTCTTGGGAAAAAAAAAAGATCACAAATATGCAGATTACATACAGAAGCCACTCTATTTCTGGCCTTAAATTCCTTCCCTCCCCTAGAAGTAGCCACTGTTAATATGTTGGGTAAACTTCCAGTCCTATTTGCAAGCATTTGTATAGATGTATGGATATGAATACTTAAAATTTTTTTCATATAAATGAGATCATATGTCTATTGTTCCACAGCTTGCTTTTTGTTGTTGATAATAAAAATTTTATTTCAGGTCAATCCAAACAGAAAAACAAAAAGGTCTGTCCATAAATGTTTTCAGGTTTCTTCAGGGAGAAAAATGAAAGTGTGTTCTAAGAGAAATATCATTTTCTCTTTCAGTTTATAGGCTATTTGGGTCAATACTTATTTTCAGGAATTTTAGTTTATAATTTTTTTATTTTTAATTATTTTGGATACAAAATAGTTGTACATATTCATGGGGTATAGCTTCAAAGCCTTATTTATGTATATGTATAATAATATATTTTGTTCTTTTAAAAGCTGCATTATAGTCCATAAAGAGAATGGGAATGTACTAGACTTAATCTAGCAAACTACTACTAGATAAGCAGGGTGCTTGCAAGATAAATTATGATAAATGCTGTAAATATTTCTTTTTTTCTTTTTTAGAGACAAAAAATGTTTGCCCAACAAATGTTTGCTCTATGATGCCCAGGCTCGTCTGGAACTCCTGGGCTCAAGTGATCCTCCCACCCTGGCCTTCAGAGTAGCTATGACTACAGGTGCACACCACCACACCTGGCCACACATGTCTTTGAAGAACAATCTCTATGCACATAAGTATTTCTTAAGGTCACATTCCTAGAAATGCAATTGGCGTGTCAAAAGATATGTGCACTTTTTTAAGTTTTATTGTTTCACAGTTTATCCATGTTGTAGCATTTATTGGTACTTTGTTCCTTTTTATGGCTGAAGAATATTCTACTGTGTGGCCATACCACATTTGCTTGTCCATTTATCAATTCTTGGACCTTTGGGGTTCTTCCACACTTTATTATGAATAATCTTGCTATAAACATTTGTGCGCAAGACTCTGTGTGTGGTTGTATGTTTTCATTTCTCTTGGGTAAATACTTAGGAGCGGAATTGCTGGGTCATATGATAAATCTGTTTAACTCCTTAAGAAACTGTCAAACTTTTCCAAAGTACCTATGCCATTACATTTTCACCAGCAATAAAACAAGGGATTCAAGTTTTCCACATCCTAGTCAACACTTGTATTTGTATATCGTTTTTGTTATATCCATTCTAGAGCATGTGAAAATATGTTTTTAAATTGGCTTTACTAATTTGCACTTCCCCTGATGTTGTATATATAATACATGCTTCTCTACATCCTCACCAACCATAGCTATTATCAGTCTTTTAAATATTTGCCTTGTGAATATTTGTATAAAGTTACTTCGTTGTTGGTTTAGTTTGCATTTTCCTGATAGTAGTGAGTGAGCATCTCTTCATATGTTGATCGACAATTTGTATTCCATCTTCTGTGAATTACCTGTTCATATATATATATATTTTTACTGGATTAACATTTACAGACATTCTGTATGTAATCCAGGTATTGCTGTATATGTAATATGCCTTAGTCTGTGACACTTAACCTTTCTTACATCTTTCTTGTACAAAAGCATTTAATTTTCACTAGTTAAATCTGTCAGTTTTCTTCATTATAGATTTTGGGCTAAATGTTATGCTTAGGAAAGCCTCCTCCAACACTAGGATTATAGAAATATTCCCTTATAATTTCTTCTAATAATTCTACAGTTTTATTTTTATGCTGAACACTAATAAACTTGGAAATGATTCTTATGTAGAGGAATATATATTTGTTTCGTTCCAGTTGCCCCAAAACTTTTCACTGAATTGTTTACCCTTTCCTAACTGATCTGAAATAAAATCCCACCTCAATCATTGTAAATTTTGACACGCAAGTCAGTCATTTTCTGGACTTTTTATGCCACTCCATTGAACAATTTGTCTTCTCTGAGACAATATTGGGCCAGTTAAATTACTGTTGCTTGAAGGTGTGTTTCGGTATCTGGTCTGGTAAATTCCCTTTCATAACTCTTATCTGTAAAGAAAATATCGCAACTAATCTTTCTAAGTGTAATGGAAATATTTCTGGTTTAATAAGATCTCATAAGAAAAATAAGGTAGAACCACATAAAGGGTTGAAATGGAAAAACAAGGATGAGTTCACATTCTTTAGCTCTGTCATTACTACAGGTGCAAGGACACTTTTGTCCACTAGCAACTCTCTTGTGCACCTCTAGTGCCAGATCATCTCTGTTTCTACTCTTCATCAAAAAAGAAACCAGGACTTCTTGAAAGGCACACAGTCCTATGTCTTGCGTCAGAAAAAAAAAAAAAAAAAAAAATTAGGATGGCCCCAAACATCCTATTGTTGTAACAAAGTAAGGATGCTGCCATAACTGTCAAAAGCAATATTTTACTTTTAAAAAAACCAAAACCCCACAAAAACAAAAGAATAAGCTTGAAGGACTTCCACCAGTCAAGCTGTAATATTCTGAGCATCCAAAAAAGGAGATGAAAATTATAAGGTGAGTCTATAAAGGGACACACATTCATAGAGACTCCAAGAGAAAAAGGAGTTGTAATACAAAATTAAGATGATTATAGGATATAGCTAAGGGACTATTCATATATGTGTGGACATTTTATATGTTGTATGAAGAATATACATTTTCATAAACCATAGACATGTGTTTGTTTCTAGCTATCCTTATAGGAATAAACAAAATCATAAGATAAACTAGAAAAACATAGTACAAACAGACAAAAGAAGCCAGGCGCAGTTGCACATACCTGTCATCCCAGCATTTTGGGAGGCTGAGGAAGGAGGATCACTTGAGGCCAGGAGTTCAAGACCAGCCTGAGCTGTAACATAGTGAGACCCTGTCTCTACAAAAAAAAATAAAAAAAAAATGAGCCAGACATGGTGGTGCATGCCTGTAGTCCCAGTTATTTGGGAGGCTGAGGTGGAAGGATTGCTTGAGCCTGGGAGGTCAAGGCTGCAGTGAGCCAAGATCGCGTCACTGCACTCCAGCCTGGATAACAGAATTCTGAGACTCTGTCTCAAAAAAACAAAATAAAATCGTCATCAGTGGTCACATATAATAAATACAAATAAAGGAGTCTACTTGATCATATGTGATCACAAATAAAAGAGGATCCAGCAGTTATGTCCAAAGATAATAAATAGCCAAATATCTCAGGGACAAGCGTTCACCACACAGACTTGATGGTTCTACTAGACAAAATCTCAAAATGATCCTAGTTACATGAGATATTCACAGGCATATGTAAGTTTTCGATTACACTAACGGACAAGATCAACAGATCATAAAAAGGCAAGACAATGAGTAGGTCAGGCTGACTATGCAAAATGAAAGCATCCACTTCTGGGAAGGACACCAAGTTTCCTAAATGAAAGAAGAAATGGCAAGATATTAAAAATTCCATGACAAAGCAAGGAAGAATTAATTTTAACGAAGGACTTTGTCCAGGGCCCATGGCCCATGACTGCAGCAGCGTGGACTGTGCTGCCAGGCCCTCCATCCTAAGAATCAGTCAAGAACCCAGATCTTGCTCCTTCAGTTAGCCTGAGGGGGGATTTCTTTCCTTTTAGTCTTGGTAAAATTACTGCAAGCCCAGAAAGGACAGTATAACAGAATATGTAGGAGAATATAAAAATAAATATGCCAGTTTTCAAAGGGAATGCTTCCAGTTTTTGCCCATTCAGTATGATATTGGCTGTGGGTTTGTCACAGATAGCTCTTATTATTTTGAAATACGTCCCATCAATACCTAATTTATTGAGAGTTTTTAGCATGAAGGGTTGTTGAATTTTGTCAAAGGCCTTTTCTGCATCTATTGCGATAATCATGTGGTTTTTGTCTTTGGTTCTGTTTATATGCTGGATTACATTTATTGATTTGCGTATATTGAACCAGCCTTGCATCCCAGGGATGAAGCCCACTTCATCATGGTGGATAAGCTTTTTGATGTGCTGCTGGATTCGGTTTGCCAGTATTTTATTGAGGATTTTTGCATCAATGTTCATCAAGGATATTGGTCTAAAATTCTCTTTTTTGGTTGTGTCTCTGCCCAGCTTTGGTATCAGGATGATGCTGGCCTCATAAAATGAGTTAGGGAGGATTCCCTCTTTTTCTATTGATTGGGATGCCCTCTCTCACCACTCCTATTCAACACAGTGTTGGAAGTTCTGGCCAGGGCAATTAGGCAGGAGAAGGAAATAAAGGGTATTCGATTAGGAAAACTGGAAGTCAAATTGTCCCTGTTTGCAGACGACATGATTATATATATAGAAAACCCCATTGTCTCAGCCCAAAATCTCCTTAAGCTGATAAGCAACTTCAGCAAAGTCTCAGGATACAAAAATCAATGTACAAAAATCACAAGCATTCTTATACACCAACAACAGACAAACAGAGAGCCAAATCATGAGTGAACTCCCATTCACAATTGCTTCAAAGAGAATAAAATACCTAGGAATCCAACTTACAAGGGATGTGAAGGACCTCTTCAAGGAGAACTACAAACCACTGCTCAAGGAAATAAAAGAGGATACAAACAAATGAAAGAACATTCCATGCTCATGGGTAGGAAGAATCAATATCATGAAAATGGCCATACTGCCCAAGGTAATTTATAGATTCAATGCCATCCCCATCAAGCTACCAATGACTTTCTTCACAGAACTGGAAAAAACTACTTTAAAGTTCATATGGAACCAAAAAAGAGCCCGCATCACCAAGTCAATCCTAAGCCAAAAGAACAAAGCTGGAGGCATCACACTACCTGACTTCAAACTATACTACAAGGCTACAGTAACCAAAACAGCATGGTACTTGTACCAAAACAGACATATAGATAGATCAATGGAACAGAACAGAGCCCTCAGAAATAACGCCGCATATCTACAACTATCTGATCTTTGACAAACCTGACATAAACAAGAAATGGGGAAAGGATTCCCTATTTAATAAATGGTGCTGGGAAAACTGGCTAGCCATATGTAGAAAGCTAAAACTGGACCCCTTCCTTACTCCTTATACAAAAATCAATTCAAGATGGATTAAAGACTTAAACGTTAGACCTAAAACCATAAAAACCCTAGAAGGAAACCTAGGCAATACCATTCAGGACATAGGCATGGGCAAGGACTTCATGTCTAAAACACCAAAAGCAATGGCAACAAAAGCCAAAATTGACAAATGGGATCTAATTAAACTAAAGAGCTTCTGCACAGCAAAAGAAACTACCATCAGAGTGAACAGGCAACCTACAGAATGGGAGAAAATTTTCACAACCTACTCATCTGACAAAGGGCTAATATCCAGAATCTACAATGAACTCAAACAAATTTACAAGAAAAAAACAAACAACCCCATCAAAAAGTGGGCGAAGGACATGAACAGACACTTCTCAAAAGAAGACATTTATGCAGCCAAAAAACACATGAAAAAATGCTCACCATCACTGGCCATCAGAGAAATGCAAATCAAAACCACAATGAGATAGCATCTCACACCAGTTAGAATGGCAATCATTAAAAAGTCAGGAAACAACAGGTGCTGGAGAGGATGTGGAGAAATAGGAACACTTTTACACTGTTGGTGGGACTGTAAACTAGTTCAACCATTGTGGAAGTCAGTGTGGGGATTCCTCAGGGATCTAGAACTAGAAATACCATTTGACCCAGCCTTCCCATTACTGGGTATATACCCAAAGGACTATAAATCATGCTGCTATAAAGACACACGCACACGTATGTTTACTGCGGCATTATTCACAATAGCAAAGACTTGGAACCAACCCAAATGTCCAACAATGATAGACTGGATTAAGAAAATGTGGCACATATACACCATGGAATACTATGCAGCCATAAAAAATGATGAGTTCATGTCCTTTGTAGGGACATGGATGAAACTGGAGTATCATCATTCTCAGTAAACTATAGCAAGGACAAAAAAACCAAACACCGCATATTCTCACTCATAGGTGGGAATTGAACAATGAGAACACATGGACACAGGAAGGGGAACATCACACTCTGGGGGCTGTTTTGGGGTGGGGGGAGGGGGGAGGGATAGCATTGGGAGATATACCTAATGCTAGATGACCAGTTAGTGGGTGCAGCACACCAGCATGGCACATGTATACATATGTAACCAACCTGCACATTGTGCACATGTACCCTAAAACTTAAAGTATAATAATAAAAAAATAAAATAAAATAAACATGGTCATAGTAGTAGGAAAGTGTTTTTAAAAGTATAAAACTAATGGAAAAATGGCCAGGCATGGTGGCTCATGCCTGTAATCCCAGCACTTTGGGAGGCCAAGGTAGGAGGATCCCTTGAGGCCAGGAGTTCCAGACCAGTCTGGGCAACATAGTGAGACCTTGTCTCTACAAAAAAATAATTAGCAGGCATGGTGGTGTGTAACTGTTGTTCCAGCTACTTAGATGGCTGAGGCGAGAGGAGCACTTGACCCAGGCAGTCAAGGCTGCAGTGAGCTGTGATCACACCATTGCACTCCAGCCTTGGTAACAGAGAGACTCTATTTCAAAAACAGTAATAATGGACATAAAACTTGATTTTGATTTTTTAAATGGGTAAGTTATTTTTAAAATGTGCTAACCATTGTGTTCAAGTATAGTTTACATAATGTTTAAGGAGTTTACAAGGTTTCAAACAATCAGGTATACTCAATCTATAGCCGCACTTTAGGCTGTTTGAGGCGATTTAATTAATTTAATTAGCAATACATGTTTAAACGCTCAAGAAAAATTGCCGTTTGTTTTCTTTCTCCCTTCCTTCCTAATTCAGTCACAAAGCCACTAGGCAGTGCCTGGGAGGTGAAAGCGGCTGAAGAAGGTCAGGGGATTGAGAAAATAAATGAGTGGAGACAGTGGAAGCCAGGGTTGTCACTGTAGGAGGAGGGAGTGACAAATTCGGAAAGGGGGAAAAGAACATGCCACTAGGTTGGGATTGGAGGTATCAACGTGACCTCATGATATTCTTTTTTTTTTTTTTTTTGAGACGGAGTCTCGCTCCGTCACCCAAGCTGGAGTGCAGTGGTGTGATCTTGGCTCACTGTAACCTCCGCCTCCCAGGTTCAAGTGATTCTCTCCTGCCTCAGCCTCCCGAGTTGCTGGGATTACAGGCACGTGCCATCACGCCTGGCTAATTTTTGTATTTTTAGTAGAGACGGGGTCTTGCCATGTTGGTCAGATTGGTCTTGAACTCCTGATCTCAAGCAATCCACCCGCCTTGGCCTCCCAAAGTGCTGGGATTACAGGCGTGAGCCACCATACCTGGCCCGACCTCATGATATTCTATATAGATATAAAAATAAACATCAATACAAATGTGTGCATACATATTTACACTTAGACACACATGCACATATATAGTTTGAGGGTTTCTAGGAATAGCAGGACTGCAGTAGCAATGGATACACTTTCAATAAATGAGTGAGCGAGTGCCCTTTGTGCCACGGCAAGTGCTAATTATCATCTTGCTAGAAAATCTAGGAGCAAGTGGGAAGATATTCAAAGGATCCCCAATTGATAATCAGACTATGTTTTCTCATGAGACAAAACGAAGTAGAAACTGTGATTGTTAGGCTAGCTCATAAAGATTTTATTTATCCGAAGACCCTGGAAGTAAAATACTTCATCTCTTATTATACTAGGAAATGTATGCCGGGTAGTATTATTTTAAAACTTCTTTTAGCTGTCCTACAGTATTTTAAATCTTACTAAACACTTTAATTGCCCTGTCTTCTTTCAAATCTATTACCACTACTGTAAAACACACACACACACACACACACACACACACACACACACACACAGAGAGAGAGAGAGAGAGAAAGAGAGAGAGATTGGGGAAGTGGTCGAATTAAATGGATTGACAGCCTCAACACAGTCACCGGGACAAACTGCCTAGTTATTCCAAGGATGCAGCTACTCCTCAAATGATTTTTGGAATCTATCTTCTGCACTGGCTTTAGAGTTCATGGTATAACCTTAGAGATAGTAAATTTTTACTCTCCTGAGTAGATATAATATTTTAAAAAAGTCCAAAGACACTAGAAGTTGGGTGATCAAACTGAGTAATAATTTGTAGTTGAAAAATAAAGGCATAATTATAAAGAGACTTGAACCTCCAAAGTATACCAGTAGTATAATGCAATCAGGCGTATACCTTTCCAAAGTAACTTCTTTGAGGAATAACATTAATTTACTTGAATAAGCAAAAAAAACCTCATAATCACACTTCAGACATGCCGTATGTACTGGGGTCAAACGCACTGAACAATGGCCCTTCCCAAAACATGTCTCCCACTGTCCTACCAAGCTATCTAAAATGCAGAATACTTTGAGCTGAGGACTGACTGATGGCTGCTGCTGAAGGGCCATATGGCCTACTGCAATGTGTAATTTACAGTGCCATAAATACCTGAGATGACTCTGTTTGATATGACAAACTGTCAGCTTGACTGCCACAAGGCAATAGGACATAAGTGATTTGGGGGCAAGGTTGTCAATGAGGACCAGTCATCAAAAGGGAGACCCTGGAACCAACTCTCACCTTTGAAATGAACCCAGCCCCGTTCTGTTCCAGATGCACACCTTCAACAGATCAGACAAACATGGTTGCATGGTCCAAGCATGTGGTGATTTTTATTAAGAATAACTTTGGTTCTAAGAATTCCACCCTCAATTCTTTAATACTTTCCGTTAAAAACAATTATACAAGAGCAAATACAAAAAATATTAAATTATGAAAACCAATCCATTAAGGCTCCCTTTATATATATTATATACACTCAAACAAGTCAAGATTTTTCAGAGTAGAAGAATAAAGTCGACTGTTATAGCTTAGAAAGCAACACTACTACTATGAGACTATAAAACATTAAACTATTTTAAGAAAACCACGCTGTGGAAAAATGGAGCCATTTTTGTCAAAAAGTGGCTCAAAGCACAAAACTGCTCAGATGTTCAAGAGTCCTAGGAGTTTGGGCTGCACAGTATTAAGGGGTGAGAGGAGACCGACAGCCTGTTTGAATCAGGCTTGTGAGCCCAGCTCATCTGACAACTTCAAAGAGCTTCTCTGCCTATACATTCCACCGTTTAGCATAAGACACCACTTTACGCTATTTACAAGTCTCCTTTTGGCCAGATTTTGTATTACTAATTACAAATAATTCTGCAGATTTGAGTGAGATTAGGAAAGAAATGCTTTCTTAAGTAACTTTTTTTTTTTTCAGTGAAGAATGAATTCTAGTTAAGCTCTAGGAACAGAAATGGTCCTTCTAAAGGAGCCTACCAGGGCCCCTGTGAATACGATCAAGTGGCAGAATTGCTTCGAGAATACAGATTTCAAGATCTGACATCTAGTTAGATAAAAAGATATGAGCCAGTCCCGAATCTTCATTTTACAAACAGCATCGCTAGTCCACAGACACAAAGAAAGAATTCCAGTCAACGTGCAATCAGAAATGGGCTTTTCAAGATCATCAGTCATCACACTTCCTTCTCTCAAAAGAACGATGGGAAAAAATAGTTACCATTCCATTCTTCGAAACCAAATTACTGTAGAGCAACAATTTTTCTTAAGCATTTCTCATTTTATTCAAATAATACTTGCTGATGAGATAAATAATCCATTTCAGGTATAATCAACTAACATGTTTCTCTAACTAGCAGTATATTATCATTGCATTTACTTTTGTTCCCATTCAGATTGAATATGGGCCTAATTGTCAACTGCTAACACTAAAGCATTCCCATAGAAAGCTAATTTCTACTGTGCTAATTAAGGATTCAAAAGCTCTAGATCCAGCTTTCTATGAGTCTTCAAAGAAAGTATGAGAAGTCTCTCCAATGCAGAAATGACTGGCTGAACTGTCTCTACGGAGCATACTAAATCCTCAACAATTCTTCGGTATCACCCAGGCAAAAGGTACCGATGCCCACACTAGCAGTTTAAAACTAATTTTGCATGAGAATGCGGCTGCTGTCTGTAACTCGGCCCCCTCTCTGAGGAGCGTGCTGCTAGCTAGAACAAGGGAACTCAGCAGCCCCTCCCTTCCCATCAGCTGTTCCTGAGAGATGCAATATAGTAGTCATCGACATCATCCTTATCAACAGCATCATCACTCAGACAGTGGTGAAAGTCTTTCTTCACAAGGAAAAACAAAGATAAAGAAATACATGAGCATTAATCAGAAATTTTCAAAGCTTGGATTCTAATGATATGCATTATCATTAGACATTCAAATGCTATACATCTTCTGATGAAGCCTCCTTGACAGCAGTCTACACTTATTTCACATTAGAATGCCTAGAGAAATCCTGACTGCCCAGCTGGTCATGGGAACCTTCCCCACTCTCCTCTTGGAGAAATGAAAAGATGTGGCGGCTTCTACTTTTGCTACTGAAGCTGGGTTATATGGACTAGTTCCACTCTCTAAGGGACTGGAAGGTTATTCCATCTGAAAGAACTAGATCAGCAAGACATTTAAAAACAAAACTGAACAGAAACCCTCCTAGTAATCAAAGCAATTAATGAATGGACAGGATGTACCTTCTTGGAACTGGAATGTCACTATGTAGCCTGCTATTATTACACAGAGAACCAAAAGGAATGAAAATAAAATCAAGATGGGCTTTTAAACTTCTCACCCTATTTCTAAATTAAGTGCCAACAAGGGTAGTG
The DNA here is from genome assembly GCF_000001405.40 of Homo sapiens. NCBI lineage: Eukaryota > Metazoa > Chordata > Mammalia > Primates > Hominidae > Homo > Homo sapiens. The sequence goes on from NC_000010.11 coordinate 14,520,625, forward strand.
GCTGTGCTCGACATTCACGTTCCTTCTCTGGTGTTAACTGCAACAGGGGTGAAAGTATAAATTAAACAAGACAATTCTGGGTCCTCAAAATTTACAGTGAGTGAACAGATTAAACGCATTTCTAGGTGATCTCAATTATCTAACAGATAACAAAAAGAGGAATTAAACACTTGTTTTTTAGCTTTTAAAAGAAAAAAGGCTCTGGGTCCCACGAAACTTGGAATGGAAGAAAAACCAAGTAGTGCAACTCTCAAGAATTGATTCCAGTGTCCTCTTCCTTTTTCCTGTTCTCACTTGTTTTGCTTGTTGGTTCTGTTAAGTCTCTGAACACAGGTCCATCATTCCAACTTACGTGCGGGGCACTGCCCTTCATTTGGCGAATAGGAACTGCAACTGTCACAGGCAAGGCATCCACCCAGATCGTAGGAAAATCAAACCAAATCCTACTGCAAGTCAAAATTCTCTGCTGGCTGAAATATTCTCCAGGGGCTTTTGCCCTGAGATTGAGAAGGCACCCACAGACAGCTCTGTGGGGTGACACACGAGGTCTTGGTGCAGCCTCAGCCTAGGACTCCTGGGCTTGGGCGACTTCTTGGCCTGTTCTCCTGAGATTGCCTTTCACCTTCACAAACTCGGGGGCATTTTCTTGCTCTTCTTGCAATTTCTGCTTCTCAAGTTCAAGCTAAATGACATTCAGAAAAGGAAAAATTATTTACAAACCAAGCAGCCTTTCAAAATACTCTTCTCTCTTTTCAAAGTCCCTGACAACTTTACTTCCCCACAGAATAAATTCTCTCCTGGTCCCCCACTTTTAAAGAAATGGATGGATAGAGTCTGGGTAATTGTGCACAGAAACAGAAGCCACTTGGCTGTCACTGCAAATAGGACCACGAGATGACAAGAATTGAAAAGACAGGGCTAAGGAAACAAATCCTGGAGTCAACGCGCAGTTGCTCTGGAGTCTTCATGAAAGTGAATTTCATTAAATTACTCCAGCACCCTGTGTGAATTCAGTGCCATGTCCCTGTTTTGCTTTTGCCTCTGGGATCTCTTTTAGGTCCTCAGTAGGATTCTTGTCCCTGCCTTGAACATATTTGACCCCATTTGCTGACATTTGTCTCCAATATTTCTTTCATGGTATAAATGTATACACTGGCACGTCTGGTAAATCCTGCCCGCTCCAACACTCCAACATTCTTCAAGACAAAAACAAAAAAAGACAGCTTCCAGCCAATCCCCCTTACCTGCTCCAACTTCTGCTGCCGTTTTAATAGCTCTATTTCCAAGTCAGATTTCTTCTTCTGTGCTTCTTCTTCCTTCTGCTTTATTACTTGGTCTCGTTTTCTTTTTTCCATCACCTTCTGCAATTCTGGTTTGTTCTGAGGAGCAAGACCCCTGCGAAAGAGCATTAACAAAAATAGAAAACGTTAATCTAATGGCTACATTTTTTATGAACAGAAATTTAACTTACAATATCAACCACGGAAAAGTGGTCTACAAAATTAGTATGATACCTACTAGGCTACAGCAGGCAACATGGTGATCTAAGAAATTCACCAGCACGAAAGAAAGGCAAGAGGAGATCTCCAAAGAGTACATAAAATCCATTCATTCAATGACAATGTATTGGCCACGTGCCATGTGCAAGACACTAGGCTACGCAAAGGAGGGCAGTGAGGGTGGGGATGTGCGTACGATGACTGTGATGGGTGCCCATGACAGAGACGGAGATGGTCAGGAAATGAGGGGGCTCTGCATGGAGGGGAGGCTTCCCAAAATCTAGCCCCTGATTTTTTTTTTTTTTTCTGAGACAGAGTCTCACTCTGTCACCCAGGCTGGAGTGCAGTGGCAGGCAATCTAGGCTCAATGCAACCTCCGCCTCCCAGGTTCAAGCAATTCTCCTGCCTCAGCCTCTGGAGTAGCTGGGATTACAGGCGTGCACCACCACGCCCGGCTAATTTTTGTATTTTTAGTAGAGATGGGGTTTCACCATGTTGGTCAGGTTGGTCTGAAACTCCTGACCTCGGGATCCACTCGCCTCGGCCTCCCAAAGTGCTGGGATTACAGGCGTGAGCCACCACACCTGGCCTCTAGCCCCTGATCTTATGCACTAAATGCAGCCTCAAGACCAGCTTAGACAGTAAAATGGCCCTGGAAACCTTCCCACCCTTCATTTTTCAGACTGAAAGGGGGTTCCTGTACATCTAAAGGCACATCTGAGGTTATACCGTTACTGAAGGACATGGCCGTGCAGAACCTTAATCCCCTAATTCTCAGTCCCGTGCTCCTCCACCGAAACCCTTTCAGATGTGTAGTTGATTATTTACAATGAAAGCAAGTCGGCCTTCAGGGAAGTCCTACATTTCTGAGAGATAAATTAGGCTACCATCTCTCCAAATGGGGAGAAACAAGCCAAACAGGCCATGAACTAGCCACCCTCCATCTGAAATATTCGAGAGAAGTCAAGGGAAAGACATGTCTTAGCATTTTCTCTAGTGCTATATCTGTCTGTTTAACTGTTAGCTTAAGATTTGCCTTTTCTATTTCCTTAGGATTTCTCCTATGGCTTTCCAGAATGCTGGATTATCCAGCTCACCTTTCTTCTTATTGTCTTCCTTAGTCACTTATCTTAGCCAGTCTCTGCCAACTCATAAGTAATCTCAACTTGATGTTAAAATTTACCAGGACAATTTAAAATAAAAATAGGACAAACCACCGAACAGGAAAAGCGCTTTCAATTTCAGGCAGCACAGGGTGTAGGTAACAGCGCACACACACTCATGCTACGCACGCAGGCATGTGGTGGAACAGTAATTCAGGCTTTTCTGAACTGCAGGCAACAAGCACTGCTGACTCTGTCCCGGACTCCAGGATGGGCCTGAGCACCTCCCACACACCTCCTGGTCCGGCTGCTGATGACTGCTAATCTGTAGACAAGGGACAGGGTTGTTCTCTAAACGACTCCTATCAACTACCGTGACTAACCAACTAGGAGTCATCTGAGCAACTGTTAAATAACAATTTCCAATATATGTGCTCCGGCCAGAGAAATTCAACAGCACACTCACCTTGATCCCTTTAAAGTCCACACAATCACATCTGTAAACCAATCCTCAATTGCATACTTCCTCATTCATCTAGAATTTCTAAAAATTCTGGCATCTCTCCTATCTAGATGTTTTTAAAAATCACAAAAACTTAATTCAAAGTTGTTGTTTAGAGTAAAAATCGGTATATTCCATCTTTTTTTTTTTTTTTTTCTGAGACAGGCTCTCTCTGTTGCCCGGGCTGGAGTGCAGCGGCATGATCTCAGCTCACTGAAACCTCTGCCTCCTGGGCCCCAGCGATCCTCCCACCTCAGCCTCCTGAGTAGCTGGGACCACAGGCACATGCCACCACGCCCAGCTCTATTTTTTTTTTTTTTTTTCGTTTTTGAGATACAGTTTTCCTCTTGTTGCCCAGGATGGAGTGCAATGGCACAATCTCGGCTCACTGCAACTTCCTCCTCCCAGGTTCAAGCGATTCTCCTCCCTCAGCCTCCCGAGGAGCTGGGATTACAGGTGCCCGCAACCACGACCGGATAATTTTTTGTATTTTTAGTAGAGACGGGGTTTCACCATGTTGGCCAGGCTGGTCTCGAACTCCTGAGCTCAAGCCGTCTACCTGCCTTGGCCTCCCAAAGTGGTGGGATTATAGGCATCAGCAACCACACCCAGCTAGTATAGTCCATCTTTAATGACAGAGGACACACAGTCAAAATAATATATGTCTCCAATTTCCCAATTTTCATTAGCAGAACTTTCCGTTAAAAAAAATTTGGCCAAATTTCCAGGGAAACAAAAGAGGCAGGTGACTTTTGTGATTTAATTATGGTTTATTTCACAGTTATCAAAACTAAATAAACAACAGGATAAAAAATATGCACAGATTAAATCTTTAATCAGCACAATATAAGTTGCTTAAGAGTACTCTGTTCAAAATAAAGGTGTTATTAACCACAGGAAAAGCTGTTTTTAAGTAATCTGAATAAAGTTTTACTCAGTTTCATGACTATCAAAAAGTCTTGATATAACACTACAGACAGAATTAAGGGGTTTAAATTTTAGGATTAAGAATTTAGCTATCTGAATAATTTAAATTTCAAACATTTTTCTTTCCCTACATTTCACTGGCAAAATTAACTTCAACTATTATTCAATTCTCCTGGATTATGCAAAAGCTGCTGAAGATTTGATGTATGACACATTTGGCTGACACTCTATTGCAACCTATGAATGGGTTTAACTATTACACAGTATTCATTTTCCTTTCAAAGATTTTACACAATAGTGACAGTAAGATAAAATATGTAGTAACAAAAAATTCAGGAAAATGGTGCTTATATGATAAATATTCTCTACTTACAGCAGTCAAGAAGTCATATAAATTTAGTTAATATTTTACCACAGTGGATTACTTAACTTTCTGTGCTGAATGCAAAAAGTCAAGCATTGCCCATGTAAGTCTCTAAGTCTAAATGGAACAGAGATAGTGTCGACAGACAGAAATTAGTTTCTCCAAATGTCATAATTAACTACAATACCATCCCTTGCACAAGAATAGTTGGTTCTCTTTAATCAATTCTGACATATACAGCTAACAAGTACTTTCAACCCCTTTATGACAGTATCACCCACGAGTAACAGTAATTCCCAAGTCGGCTTCTCGGTCAGGTAGCTACCTGTGACTACTGAAGCGGGCAAAGCCAATTTAAAAAACTATAAAATTAATAAGTGCTCTTTGCAGAAAAAGAAAAGTAATATACCCATGTGTTAAATAAAAAGCAAAAGCACATCCAAACCCTCTCCATTAAACGAATCGAGGAGCACCACTCCATCGCAAATGTTCTATGTGAACAGTGGCCCCAAAATTATGCAAAGTAGAGACCCTGTACCCATCAACCCCTACCTATTCCTGCATCCAGAGATAACTCTTACCAACAGTTGGGTCTATGTTCCTCCATACTTTCTATACCCATATAAACATGCCACAATTCTGCCACATCCCTACTGACAGACATCTATTTGGTTTCCAACTGTTCACTATTAAAAACAATGAGGCTCTGAGCCTCTGTGGACATTTATAGCTGCACACTTCTACAAGTATTTCTGTTGGCTAGATTCATAGAAGCGGAGTTGCTGGCTAAGCATCTGCACATCGCATATTTTGATGAGTACTGCCAAAGTGCCCTACAAAAAGGCTGCAATGATTTATATTCCCACCCCCAGAGTATGAAACATACAGACAACTTTGAAAGGTACATTTCACATAAACCACTAAATACATTCAAGGGCAGACGGGGCGAGTCCCCATTCATTCCACATCTACCTGAACTCTGTGTACCTATATATTAATAAGTGAAGTCATTTCATTACCTGGGACAGCATTCATCCAGAGGAAAGGTCTGGGGCTCAGACCGTCACAGAACAATGCCTACTCACTTAGTCAAACATCTCCCGGCCTAATTATTTTTCTTAGGGTACAGGGAAAATTTGATTTGAATTTAGCCCTTGTTCTTTTTTTCCGGGGGGACAGAGTCTCGCTCTATTGCCCATGCTGGAGTGCAGTGGCATGACCTCGGCTCACTGCAACCTCCGCTTCCTGGGTTCAAGCTATTCTCCTGCCTCAGCCTCCCAAGTAGCTGGGACTACAGGCGCGTGCCACCACGCCCAGCTAATTTTTTTGTATTTTTAGTAGAGATGGGGTTGCGCCATGTTGGCCAGGCTGCTCTCAAACTCCTGACCTCAGGTGATCTGCCTGCCTCGGCCTCCCAGAGTGCTGGAATTACAGGCGTGAGCCGCCGCGCTGGGCCTGAATTTCAGCCCTTGTTCTTTAATCTTGTAATCTTTGGTTTGGCCTGCCTCATTTACATTTCTGGTTTAGTCATTTTTACCTGCATGGATTGGAACACAAATACTTGTATCCTTTATCTCTAGAACTGCCCCTATCTTTTTCCATGTTGTACAGCAGCAAGTATTTATTGAGGAACTATTCAACTAGTAAAGCATGCCAAAAGAATGTCAGCTAAAAACCAGGAACAAGAAGCCACTGACTTCAAAATATACAAGCCAAAGAACCAATTTTAGGGATATGTTTAAGTAACTGACCTATTTATTCTAAAAAGTAATCTTTGTAGAGCACAGAATCTATCTCTCTAAATAATATCAGAAATATTAATTTTTTTTTTTTTTTGAGACGGAGTCTCGCTTTGTCACCCAGGCTGGAGTGTAGTGGCGCCATCTCAGCTCACTGCAAGCTCCGCCTCCCGGGTTCACGCTATTCTCCTGCCTCAGCCTCCTGAGTAGCTGGGACTACAGGTGCCCACCAACACGCCCAGCTAATTTTTTATATTTTTAGTAGAGATGGGGTTTCACCGTGTTAGCTAGGATGGTCTTGATCTCCTCACCTCGTGATCCACCCGCCTCGGCCTCCCAAAGTGCTGGGATTACAGGCGTGAGCCACCACACCCAGCCCTTCTTAATTGTTTTTTTAAAGATCCCTTCAATAGTAATCTTTTAACCAAAAAAAAAAAAAAGCCTTTTGAAATCTGCCTTTTTATACTACTGAAAACACCTGTGGAAAGTGAGAACCTGACACAAGGTTTTAACCGTCAGACCTAGAGGCTTCAAAGACTTTTAACCTGAAACTAAGCTGGGTTCCAAAGACAGTAAATAGAGGAATAGGATTACACACTAGAAAGAGCATAGGTTTCGCAGTTAGAAGACCTGTGGGTACTTGTTCTCTTAAGTTCTTGTTCTCAGCCTGTAACACATAATCTCTGAAATGTAACTGGAAAAACTGAACTGCCATAGAGCTTTGAGCTAAATTTGTAGCTATGCGTAGCAAAGGTATAAGTCTCCACATAAACTTGCTTTTATTTCTAAACACTATTTCAAAAAACTATTATGTAATCTTGAGATGATTCCTTAAACCAGTCACCTTGAGATTACTCACCTGAGTGAGGGTAACCTGAAGATAACACACACTGGGCTATTAGAAAGAGCACCAGATGAGACAAAATGTAGGAAGACTTGTTATAAACTACAGAAAAGCAAATGGATTTTTATTACAATACCATGCAGTAATCAAGACTGGTTATTCATTAACCAAACACACACAGTATTGATGTGATGTATCCTATAGTTTGGCACTAAAATTTAGAAATAAAAACCCCAGTCTCTAAAAAGTATACAAAATAAAAGATGAATAAAAGGAAAGAAACTGAGAAATTCTCACTTTAAAATCACTGTATTTCTAACAAGTTTGGTATTACCTTGAAAACTCTTAAGAGATAAGATGAGATATATTTTCATTTCATTTTGAAATCTGCCTTTTCTTTTTTTTTTTTTTAATGTATTTCCAACCAGACCAAAATCCTTCAAAGAAAAGGGAGAAAAAGCAATAGGAAATTCCAGTTGTTGTCACATAGGAAGTGGAAGATAGATGTGACTAAGTGATCACTTATTATGTTAAGCATTTTCATACACGCTATTATTTACTTTAAGTTTTGGTTTTTTTTTTTTTTTTTTTTTTTTAGAGACAGAGTTTTGCTCTGTCACCCAGGCTGGAATGCACTGGCACAATCTCGGCTCACTGCAACCTCCACCTCCCATGTTCAAGCAATTCTCCTGCCTCAGCCTCCCGAGTGGTTGGGATTACAGGCATGTGCCACCAAGCCCGGCTAATTTTTGTATTTTTAGTAGAGACAGGGTTTCGCCAGGTTGGCCAGGCTGGTCTCAAACTCCTGACCTCAGTGGATCCACCTGCCTTGGCTTCTCAAAGTGGTGGGATTACAGGCGTGATCCACGGTGCCCAGCCTACTTTAATTTTTATAAGAAAAATACTATTATCTCCCACTTTATAGATGAAGAAACAGATCTCAAGAGGGGATACCTTGGCCAAGATCATAAGGTAGGTAAAGTTAAGTTCTGGTAAAACCAAGATTCATATCATTTCTCTCTGACCTCAAAGCCCACATCCTCTCTACACCATAGTACTTTAGGGAAACCCAGCATTGTCTCAGGTTAGTTGAGCTGGGCAAACAAGGAGAAGAACAGGCCAGACAAAGACAGACAGAATGGAAGCCCTTTCTCTAAAAAATGTGGAAACAGACTCAACTGCACAAATCTGTAGGTTTTACAGCAATGACCCAAACTACTAAATATATTTTTGCAGAATAATTCATAGCCTATAATTTAGAGAACACTTATTCTGCAAATGTTGGTTTTACTCTGACCTTTATTCTGACTTGGAGCCCTTTCATAGATTTTCCTAGAAGAAAAAATTTGAGCTAAAATGTTTCTTAGAGAACAGCTAAGTCTCCTACCTTACACTTTATAGATAAGGGAACTGAGGCCAAAGAGGTGAAGATAATCTGAAAATCTTTGAGTGACAACTGCTATTCTATTTCGGAGCCTACTAAACTGACGAGCTTTCCACCAAAATGAAGACATGATTTCCCAGGCAGGATAGGATGGCTTCTAAATTCTGTGGTCTATTTTAGGAACTTGATAGTCTCATTTTGCTTTGGCCATAATAATACCAAATTCATATATTCTTTCTTCTATTGTGTGACAAAGGCAGATGGAAGCTAAAATCTTATTTGCATTCAATTTAATATACATTAATCCAACAGCTTCCTACTAATATGCTGGGGATAAAACAGGAGTAAGCCACATTCTCACACTCTAGAGGGAGAAACGTATTTACAAATAATTCCTGGGATAGATAGGAGTCATTTTTTCTAGCTGGAGTGTACTCAGGAAAGAGAATTGCCATAAAAATGCCCCTTGATCCTCTTTAAAACATTTGTTTAACTAGGCCTCCCTGCAAAAAATTACCCTAATGCTAAACTTGATCTGCGTATCTTTCAGTTCAGTGGGAGACCTTTCACCAGGGCTTAGCAAAGAGTGGGCAAATGAGTCATCTATAGTCCTACGAGATCTGAAAATAATCCTAAATGAAGCTTCCTAGTTCTTAAATTGAAAAAAATAGCCTTTCATCCTCAGTTCTCCTAGTCTCCTGTCCTGCCCAAATTATTTAAAAAGCAGAGTATAGCAACCCAACATCCATAATGATTTATGGCACAGATGGAGTTTGCAAAGTAGATAGAAGGTAAATGCTTTCCTGTCCTCCAAAATAATTAATAATAAAGACTATGATAATAATCTTTTAAAATGCTACCCCCAAACAAACAAAAACATGAGTGTCCTATCTATTAAGTCTAATATGGTTCTAGAGACTTCTCCCCACTACTGACAAATGCCGGAGTAGGCGGCAATTACATGATTCCTACACCTTCCCCAGTGTAAGGAGAAAATTCAGAGATTTTAAATTTAAGAACATATTTCTCTTCTACTTAGGACATTCTCTTCTATCTTTAATCCAGCCTCTTCCATCCGAATTTGGAAATACACATCCATTTCAGAAGGGAACCCGTGACTGCAGGAGTCTGGAAGCACTGCTGGCCACCACAGTGATGGCCACCTGCAGGGGATCTGCCTCACGGAGGGGTAACCCGGTTCTAGGATGTGAGAAGGAATAAGAAAGCCTTAACAAAGTGCAAGAAATCAAAGACTCTTTGAAGCCTCTGTAAATACAATTAAAATTAGATATCATGATCTTAAAAGTCCTCTTAAAAAAAAAATATGCTCAAGAAACCATTTTACCTTTTTTGATTCATAAGAAGTTCTCTGTGAAGATCTTGATGGTTCCGGGAGGTTTTTACAGGATTGATCAGTTTCTGAGGCCTAATGAGTTCAGGATTGTCATCTTCTATGTAGTCTGGCTCGGCCATGATGCTTCTTGTAATGAGATATGAGTCCTTATGGTCAATATCCTCAGGTGGGCTGTCTGAAAGAGAAAGATGAGAAACACTCATTTGCAGTTTTTGCTAAGGCTTTTCCCACACATGCAGAGGCCCACAGAGCTGTGCTCAGTATGCTAACACATGCCATCCTCCTGAGTCCACTCTGGGGCATCGCTGATAAATATTCTAAAGCGCTTGGAATGTAACTGGGCTGGGGCAGGGAAGAGAATGGTGGCCTGGTCTCGTCTTGCCCATGACTAAGGCCAGGGAGCCCTGTGGCCTGACTTCTATCACTGCCACTGCCACAACTTGGGTTCCGGTCACAAAGGATGCTTCCTGCCACCCTGTCTCCATATCGACCTCAGAACAAGCACTTGAGTATGTCAGAAAAAAAGAAAGTTCAAATGAAAATTGGAACACTGGCCCACAATGGCTGCAGTTGGACACATGTGTCAGGAAAGAGGGGCCTATAAACTAAAGCTGGCCTCTTGCCTATCTTACTGGAGTTTGTTAAATATTTCACTGATGGTTATTGGTCATAAATCTGTTTACCAGATACAGAACAAAGACGGGATGGAATCAGTCACCCTCCACCAGACTCTAAGATGCCTAACCTTTCTCCTACCCACTCAGCTGCATATTTACCTTATTTATCTTATGCACAGCCTCTGTGACCACCAATCACAATCACAGGACTGAAACCGCTGCTTCACTGCCTGCTTCGCCCACCGCTGTGCCACATGTATTCCCCTGTTACAAAATACAAGGCCGAGCAAGGTGGCTCATGCCTGTAATCCCAGCACTTTGGGAGGCTGTTGTGGGAGGATCACTGAGGCCAGGAGCTCAAGACCAGCCTGGGCAACATAGCAAGACCCCATATGTTTAAAAAACATTGGAAATGCCCTGGGCATAGTGGTACATGCCTATAGTCTCAGCTACTCAGGAGGCTGAGGTGGGAGAATCACTTGAGCCCAAGAGTTGAGAGGCTGCAGTGGGCTATGATTGCACCACCGCACTCCAGCCTGGGTGACAGAGCAAGAGCAAGACCTCATATCTCTAAAAGAAAAGAAAAAAAAAAAAAAAAAAGAGGCTGGGCACAGTGGCTCATATATGTAACCCCAGCACTTTGGGAGGCTAAGGTGGCTAGATCACTTGAGGCCAGGGGTTTGAGACCAGCCTGGCCAATATGATGAAACCCTGTCTCTACTAAAAATACAAAAAATAGCCAGGCGTGGTGGCGTAGTCCCAGCTACTTAGGAGGCTGAGGCAGGAGAATCGCTTGAAGCCAGGAGGCAAGAGGTTGCAGTGAGCCGAGATCGCACCATTGCACTCAGCCTGGGAAACAGAGAGAGACTCTGTCTCAAACAAAACAAAATAGAAAAGGAAAGGGAATGAAACGTATATATATTGCGCCTCACATAACTTACTTTGGAACCCATTCTCAGTCTACACTGAGTCTGTGTTCTCAGGCTTAAGTAAGTCCTCAAACTTGGCTCCAAATAAATCTAACTGCGATTTCTCTAAGTTTTAGTGCTTGTTGTTTCACTTGTTGGTCAATAGGCACCGGACCCAGGTCCTTTACTGCTAATCCTTCAGCCTCAGCAAATCAATCTATGCTACAAACATATCAATGCTGACCCTGTGCCAGTGGAAAAGGCTTCTAGTTCTCAGCACGGTGCTCGCTGGCCTGTGACACTGCTCACTGTCTCCTTCCTTAAGCACCTTGTGGGCTTCATCCTGCTTGTATCCTTCCAGGCCTTTCCTCAAATGTCACCTTCTCAGAGAGGCCTGACCTCCTAGCTGCCCTGCTGAAAAGTATGACCCTGCCCCCAGCACCTCCCCGTGTTATGTTCTGTCCACCAAACCAAAGCAACATCTTTACAAAGTTAATGTGAAAATAAAGAGAATGAAAATCCAAAGGCTAAGTCAACTGAAAAATAATGTAGCTGCAACATTTGTTTAAATATCTTAAATATCACTCCATGATTAGGCTCAAAATTATCAAACAGTAAGGCATATATAATAAATTACACCAAACATTCCTCAGACACTAGTTGCATTGCTCTTTTAACAACAAGAATGCCTGCAACCTGAACTGAATTGAGAATTACAAACCTCGCAGAGGGTGACTCAGGGAACCCATCACAGCCAGCCTGATATCAACACACTGTCCCATGGAAAAACGTGCTCCTCGGCAAAATCCTAAATGCACTACATACACCTCTGCTCAGCCACAAGTGTCTGAAAAATCAACTGCAGTTTCCTTCTAGTTAATCATAGACCAAGAAGGCTACACACTTCCATAAAAGGCTCCGTATTTCTGCCCTTCACCATAGATAATCTCCACGATGCCAAACCCAAACAGACAACTGCCTCTGACCTTGACCTCGTTATTACATTTGGGGAGGAGCTGGAGGGAATGTGACAGAAGAGCGGGCCGTGATCAGCAGCGAGAAGAGCGCATGCAAAGGCCACAGGGTAGGAGGGTGCCTGGGGGGGATGAGGAATGGCAAAGCGCGAGGCTGGCTGCAGGGGAGGGAGGGATGGTGAGGATATAGAGCGTGGGAACTTGAACACCAGTGCTGGCATTCTGGTCTTCACCCTGAGGGCCATGGGGAGTCATTTCCAGGTTCTGAGCAGAGTAATGACGGTATCTGACTCATGAGTTAAAAGATTACTCCAGCTCCCAGGTTTAGAACGGGCTGCAGGCAGGCAGGGCGGCAGATGCAAAGGTCATCCAGGTGAGAGATGCTTTAGACTCACGCAGCAGCAGCATAGGTAGGCGGAGAGCCTGATTCAAGATGTATTTTAAAGGTAAAGTCTCTGGGACTTCCTGAAGGACTGGACACGAGGCGTGAAAAGCACTGAGGAATCAAGGATGACTTGGAGGTTTCCGGCCTGAGCAACCAGAAGGCTCAAGTTGCCATGACGGGAGGCTGAAAGAGCAAGTGGATCTAGGACGTGTCGAGTCTGAGACGTCTGATCGACATGAAAGAGGTGACATTGAGAGGGCAAGTGCAGCCAGCGCTCAAGCCTGGGTGACTCGCTCTCCTTTACCTGACTGACTCGCTCTCGTTTACCTGACTGACTGGCCCTCTGCAGTCTCAGGCTTTGCCTGCCCTCCGCTTTCCGTCCCCTCATCCTCTGTCCCGCACTCCCACTTCCCCCTCAACTAGAGACAGCATAAGATGCCCACTCAGCCTTTCCTGGACGTCAGTGTTGAGGTGCAAACATGACTTGGGCCTTGTTGCCAGGAGGGAGGTTGAGCTTCCAGTGCACAGAATGAAATGACTTTAGTTCTGAATCTAGGAAACAGGCCCTAGCTTGGGATGTTTTTCTGACTTCTCTTTAGATTTAGTTGCTTGGAAATCTTTCTTCTCACATAGGACCAGTGGGGTGAGGGGCACCCAAGCCTGTCTCCTATTAGAGAGACACGGGCACTGCGAGCCGGTGCAGGAGGGGGGGGCTGCGGTTGACTTTTCAGACACTTGTGGCTGCACAGAAGTGCGTGTAGTGCATTTAGGATTTCAGCCCAGGAGGATGTTTTTCCGTGGGACAGTGTGGTGAAGTATATGTATATGCTGTCAACACAGGGGCAAACATCTTCCTTCTTTTTCACTGGTTTGTCCTTCTTCACAACTGGAGCTGGAAAAGGGGGTGCACAGGAGCCTCTCAGTCTGAGTTAAGCATGGAGACCTTAAGCCTGTCCTCAGAACAGGTGGCATGGTCCCTGCAGCTCCTCATGCAAAGGCCACACTGGGGTCTGGGAAATGGTCATTTAGTAACAAGGGGGTGAACGGGCCGGAGCAACCCCCTCCTTGAGTCTTTGTACTCAGGGCAGTGGTGGTGGCGGGAGAACCATGTGGGATCTGGGTTCCAGCTGCTTCTCAGTGACACCCCGCCCTGGAGCTGTGACTAACACATGGCAATAACCATCACTATGACCTTCTTCACAGCTCTCTTCCCTCTGCCAGCCATCCTGCTCACTGCTACCAACGCTGGAAAATACAACTCTGGTATAAGGCAACTCTTGCGTCTCACAAATCCTATCTTCCGATCAAGCTGAAACAAATGTTCTTGCTCCCCACATCCTCACACCCCGCCTTCCCTCCACCAGCATGCTTACAGCAGCACTGCACCCTCCGAAGGCGTGCTGAGGCTTTTCCCACCGCAGCCCCGGATCTCCACAAAGCCAAACTCACGCATCCAGCAGATCCAAATAAATGCCGCATCTGCCCTGACGCCTTCCCAAATTCTATGGGATGTTCTTTGTTCTTTTTTCCTAGTAATTCGTCAACCACCGCCTTGTATTATAGCAATGTGGATATAAATCTTATCCTCTCTTCACTGCAAAGAACATGTCTGGTTTATGTTCCTATTCTTTTGACCCCTTGGACCTGTTCAGAAAGCATTACTTAAATGAAGTAACAAAGGCATGGGCTAACGACAGAGGGTGTCCCTGAGCCATTTGGATTCCACCGCCATAAGGTGTAGTGCAGAAAGTGGGGTTGAGCGGCCAGGTACATTTCCTCTCTGAGCAACAAGGAATCCAGGAGCCTGAGAGTAAAGATGGGGTAGAAATGTCTAGAGGTACAAGTACTTTGCAAGCAAATATTATTACTGACATGAAACATCATTTCTAGAAATAAACACAAAGATAATCTTGTCACAGTCACTTCACTGGTCAAGTAACTTACTCAAAGTAACTTTTTTTAATGTATTAAGTCAATTAAGGAAAACCAGGACCAGCTCAGTGAAGGAGAAATAAAACTGGTTTGAGATCCTGGACAAATCCTAACTTCCCTGACCCCCAGCTCTCCTATGTGTAAAATGAATGCTGTAAAAACTGAGTAAAATGTATATGCAAAGACTCTCTCTAATCCCTGGCACAAACATGAGAACTCAATAGAAGCTATTATAAGCCCAACTATGCAACCAGCAACATTACATACTTTATTTAGAGGCCTGGAAAACTCTGTATAGGAAACTCTACTTCTCTGGGCTTTGATTTCTTCAAAACTGTAACTTCAGTTGAATGACCCACAGACTTTCTCACTGACAACGTTCAATGGTTCTTGGACCTATTCATGCAACTAACATAAGAAGCTTCTGGAAAGTCTAAAAAGGTCTGTCTATCACACTGCCAAGGTGCTGCATGAAGTTCTGAATGGCTCCAGTCGTTCAGAGTGGGGCAGGAAACAGACAGGCCTGATGACAAGGGCCTCTCGTGCTGTTCTGAATGGAGGGGACTCACTGAAAGATTTTCAAGCTGTTGAGTAATAACAGAATTGTATTTCAGACAGACACACTATGCACTGAAAAATGCTGCCTGATGAGAATTCTACCTTTAATTTCCACTGAGCAACACACGGAAGTCATTATTTGACTCTACTATCCCAGAGCACTGGGAAATCCCATGCTTACAGATGGATTTTGAGTCCTTGCTTTTCATGTTTTTCCCTTTCCAAAGTTCACTCCGGGCCCAGCTCTCTGGCTATCCCAGGTACTTCTGTTGACTGCTTTCCAGAGGTGAATTACCATTCCCTCGGAAAACTTTCACAACTGGGCTGATAAAACAAACCCAGACCGTAGCTGGCTTGCCCCAGCAGACTGCTCTGGTTCCATGTCTGCATATTTCTACATCAAAGAGATGAATTCAAAACCTAATCCTCTAAGATTTAAAAATCAGAATTTACAGATTATGCTAGTTTTCATGTTTACCTAAATATATAAGACCTAATTCTATCTAGAAGCACTAATACTTGAATCCTTTCTAAAACAATCTCTTGGCACGTGGCAACGTGTACAGTTTACAGGTGCGCTACCACCAACCAAAGTGAAACAACCTTTTGAACTGCTAAAACGTCTGGAAAGTTAAAAGTAATTCCAAGATACTTTTGGAGAATCTGTTTCCTAAGCTGTCTCTAAGATTCTGCCAACCCTCTGGCAATACCCTGAGAAACCCAAGTTACGTAAGGTGGAGGCGGCAAACTCCAGGCCGGGTCAGCCTGAAAAGGGAAAGACACCTCTTAGATCCAAAGCCTCTCTCTCAGCACCCACAGTTCCCAGACAGGCAGGAGCCTGAGTTCCGGTAAGAATTTTTCCCAAAGTGCAGTTGGTTTCATCACAAACTCCTGACTTGCCTGGCCCTAAGGCAAACCTAAAAATTTCCATCTTAGACCAGGCAACAGACAAGTGCCCAGGGGATTTCTGTGGCCACCAACCTGGTGCACCAAGGCTTAGAAACGACGTCCCACCAGAGTCATCAGCGTAAGTGCAGAGACGTTATTGTTTCATACTCTGCCAAGCTCCACTATGGCTACGGGACAGTCCTCTGTGGCTTCCCAGGATGGTCATTTAAAACAATGACGAACTCAATAAATTTGCTGCCAATATGTTGTTGTACAAATGCCAAACAGTGATGCTCTTGGGAAAGTATCAAACTCATTTTCTCATCAGTTTTTTCATCCCCCGAAAATGTATTTTTACAAATAAGGCACATATTTTATATTTAGAAAATGGCAGAGGAGGAGGGAGTGACAACTAAGGAGGGCAAGAAACATCCGACAGACATCTGCCTACACTACAGCAACCAGAAGCTGGCCCGAGTGAGGTGGGAACGACCAATAGGTGGCGACACCTCCTCAACTAATGAGGTGTCCAGACCTGGAATGGCAGGTCCGCTTTCCTTAGGACAGCCAGAGTGGAGCAGCCATGCCCACTCCGCCTTCCTGCACTGTAGTCAAAGCACACCCCAAAAGCAGCTGGCCATTCTGAGAGATGCAGGGAAAGGAATCCATCTTGGAGCTGGTGTCCATGTCACCTGGGGGTATATGTAAGCTTCCCCTGTCACTTGGTCCTCATACGGCCCATGAGGCAGGGGTCATGACTTCCCAGTCTCCAAATGAGGCTGACAGCTTCAAGAGCATGGGTTTGGGTGGGGCAACCCGCATCTGCATTCCAGCTTCCTCACTTGCTCTAAGTGTGATCTTGGGTAAGGGCCTTCGCCAGTTTAACAAGGCAACAATGAAAAAGGACTGACAGATCTCACAGGGTTGCTATGAAGAGTAAATAAGAAATGCAACTGCTGGGCTGCGGTGGCTCATACCTGTAATCCCAGCACTTTGGGAGGCCGAGGCGGGCGGATCATGAGGTCCAGAGATCGAGACCATCCTGGCCAACACGGTGAAACCCTGTCTCTACTAAAAATACAAAAAGTTGGGTGTGGTGGCATGCACCTGTAATACCAGCTACTCGGGAGGCTGAGGCAGGAGAATAGCTTGAACCCAGGAGGCGGAGACTGCAGTGGGCTGAGATTGCGCCACTGCACTCCAGCCTGGCGACAGAGTGAGACTCTGTCTCAAAAAAAAAAAAAAAAAAAATGAAATGCACCAAACGCAATGCCTACAACACAGTAAGCCTTCAATAGACATCACCTGCTATTAGCGCTGTCACTGGCAACGAATAAGAATAAATTAGTAACAATAATGCTGTCACTGCTGCCCAAGGTTACCAAGCTGCTTAAGAGCAGGACCAAGATTTGACCTTGAGTCTGTGTAATTCCAAAAGGAAGCTCTTAGGCACTCCATGGGCTGGGATGATGGATGGACGAACCAGATTTGACTTTAACAGAATGATTTCCTGTCTCTCAACAGGACTTTAGAACCTTTCTAACATCACAGCTTTACGATCCCAAACAGAAAACATCTTGCAAAGGATGACATTAAAGTGAGATGGGAGGCAGGAAAGACATATTTCATTAAAATATATCAATATAAATGATTTTTATAAGAATGTTAATGGCAGGCCATTCATAATAGTCCCAAACTGGAGGCAACTCAAATGTCCACTAACAGTAGGATGGGTAAGTAAACAGCGGTGTGCTGACATAGTGGAATACTATGCAGCAATGAGAATGAACTGGCAATTCTGCAAGCAAAGCACAGCTGAATCTCACAAATACAACGTTAAGCAAACAAAGCAAGATGCAGAAGAGTATATACTGCATGCGTCCATGTACATAATGTTCAAAATCAGGCAAAACCAACCTTTGATGTTAGGTGTCAGGATAATGCTTATTTCGGGAGTGAATAGACGGCAGTACCAATGGGGCTTCCAGGGTCTGGAAAAGATTGTTTCTGGATAATACAGATTCTGGTGACACAGGTGTGTTTCCTCTAAACATTCACCCTCAATCAGTACACTTTTTTGGTGCATGCCCTCCTCTGCATGTGTAAGAGTACACGTTCAACAGCTATTAAAATTACTATCCACAAGTCACTTGGTTGCTGCTGCATAATGACAATTCTGTCATTTCATCCATAGTCCATGGGAAGTTATACAGCATAATGGAAAAAAGCATCAGGCTTGAAGACCACCCATCTTGAATTAGAATCCCTGGTTAGGTCACTCATCAATTATTGATTTTATAAAATTATTTAACCTGAGTCTTGATTCCTCAACTGGAAATCAGAGCTAGTACACTTGCATATGCAGAGTTGGTCTCAGCATTCTTGAAAACTCATGGAAAACATCTACCATCCACAGTACTTGCCCACGTGGCAGATGCTCAACAAAGTAGGCAAACAGTCCCAACAAACTAATTCATTACTCTAACTCTCCATTACTTAATGTTCCATCAACATGAAAGTGAATGACCGTATACCGCAAGTACACTAGTTTAAACAAAGAATAATGATGAACCCAATCTTGGCCTCTGCTCATTTTTCCAGTGTGGACAGGGAAGGGAGAAAGTGCTGTGGAAGAAAGAAAATGACTGGAGCAGGATCTCAGAGAGGCTTGTGCCAAAGTTGGGTACCCAAGACCCAGCTGGTATCTGTCAGAAGAAAGTGAGGCTGATGGTCAAGCAATGACAGTTTGGGCTGCTTTCCATGCAAACTAGCAAATTACTCCTGCAACTAAATTTCTTCAGCCTTGTACCTCCCCAAAGTCTGCATCTTGGCTAAAAAGAGGCATTTTCTATATTGTCCAAATATATCATGATCAAAGCCAAAGTTAAAAAAAAACAAAGCAGTTCTCACATAATCTAGTTTTGCCAGGAAGTTGGATATTCAAACAAACTTAGAAAAGACTGAAGACAAAATACAGAGAGAAAATGAAAACAAAAACAAAAATACTCTAGGGTGTGAGAACAAGAAGTCTCTAGATAGAAGAAAACTAATTTAAAATAAACAAAGATTCATTCAATTCCTGGCTCAGGGAAGGAGGTAAAAATGGCTTAAGGGGGGAATAAAATCCTTCAAGGGCCCACAGACAACTATAACAGCCCCTTGTCTTGGCAAGAGGCTGATCCTTGGTGACTTTTTTCACCCAGTTGAAAGTCCTAGGACTGCAGATAAGACACAAACCCTGCACCCTCACTTCCTCTACTCCTGTGCAGATTCTAGAATTCCCTGGTAGACTGCAGAACTACCCTCATCCTGTGAGTAGTACCTGGTGGGAGAGAGGAATGTCCCCTAGGTTCAGCCAACAGCAGCACATCTATGGAGAAACGAGAAGGGCGACCAGACGTCTGCCATGTTCACCATGTGGACGTGACACACAGGCAGAGCCTGCTCCACTCTGCAGCTCTGGGTGTCCCAGCCCTAGTCAGTCCCATCTGAAGCCCCAAAGCACAGAATGTTTATCAACCAAAGAGGTGCATTTGAGCTTATTCCTAGGGCAATGGCTGGGCCTGAGAACTATTCCAGAGAAATTTCACCCTGAGAAGGACCTTGGCTAATGTTCCCCAGACCAACTGCTACCTAGGAGCTGGCAGTGTCACTTGGCCTGTCAGGTGTTTTTTCTGGTAAGAAGTGCCTGTGCTTCTGGCCCTCAATGTCTGTCCCCAAGGGCTGTGATCCGTGGTCACTAACAGACAACAAATGTCATCCTTCAAATATTCACAGCAACAGCATGTTTCTATCCGCATGACAGTCCACACCCGGCAGGGTTTTCTCAGGCCATCCAGGGCTCCCTCCTTTGGTGACACTCTCCTGGGCCTCTCCTGGGTCTGGGGCTGGTATTTCCTTGCTGATGCGAAGGCAGCCCCTGGACCACCCTCCCTCTGTCCTCCCCCTGTTCTCCCCCAGCTTTCTGCCCACACTTCCTCTTCCCTCCCTTTAACGCCACCAGCAGTCCAGGCAGAGGGCCACAGCCCTGTCCTCTTCTCTCGATCATGCCTCTGGAAACCCCATACACCTTTACCCCTTCTGCTACAAGAGCTGTTTCTAAAGTGTGTGTGGAGATAGTTCCTGACTTCCCAAGCTCTGGCTCTGAAATTCCAACTTCGTACTGGAATGTTCACCTCAGAATCAACAGGTGTCAAGTTGAGCTCCCCTTTACTCACGATTTATTGAAGGCCTCTGAGGTGCCAGACACTGCCCAGGTGCTGGAAAGGACACTGAAAGGACAGAGCCAACCCCACCCCACAGGGCCTACACTGTAGCAGAAGTCATCCCAGGCGAATTTGAGTTTGAGCTATTGTTTCTCAAAAGCAACAGAGACGACAGCACACACACCATTCTTCCACTGAGAAACAATCCCTCGCAGTCTTCCCTTAACTTCCTTATTTCTCCCAAAGGTTCTATCTCACAGGTTTCAACCCTAAGTACAGAATCGATCATCAGTTCCCTTCCATAAACGCATCTGAAAATCGCCCCCTATCACCAGTCGCTCATCCCTCATCCTGGGAATTGTGCACTTGGCTTCTCCATGGCCTCCATCCCCTCCGGTTGCCTTTCCCTCTAATCCGGCTGCATCCTCAGTCAAATCCAATGAGCTAACTCATTTAATCAGATCAGGGCTACCAAGCCGAGCATCACTGGTCACCTCAGGAGAGGATGCTAAACTGCTTGGCCTTCTGTGGCCCCCTTCTCGATAGTGGAGTCCTCAATTACCTTTACAAATGTGTGGTTCTTAACTCTCTGGCATCAACTCTAGGCAGCCAGTACACACCAAGCCCGTGCACGTTCCCATCTCCACCTCTGCTTCCGATTTCCTCCTGGGCAGAAATCCCTCCTCCCCAGCCAGTAAAACTCCAGGCACCTTGCAAAGACCAGCTCACAGCCTGCCTCCCCGAGTCTTCCCGGGGCCTCTCCTCCGGAGACATGTCCTACTGTTTGAACTGCTGTGGAAGACTCCACTGGACGCCCCTTGCCTCAGGCACTTCCCCGCCTGTGGGCTAATTTCCCACGTTTCCACACTGTCTCCCCTTGAAGGACACAGAAGTCAATCTCTGCAGAAGGGAAAAGACCTCTGAGTGACTTCCATCCTCTCCCCTATGCTCTGGCACAATGGCTTGTACATAAGCCATACAAAGTAGCAGTGGCCTCACAGTGACTAGCAGACACAGAAGAGCTAGGAGAAAGCTGGAGCTGCCGACTCCTTGTGCCTCTGGCTGACCTCCAGAGGCCAGCAAACCTCTCATCTTACCTCCTATTGCCTTCCCCAGCCCTGGGCTGTATGTCACACTGTGTGCACCGTATTAAAACGTACTGAATGGGCCGGGCACAGTGGCTCACGCCTGTAAATCCCATCACTTTTGAGAGGCTGAGGCAGGCAGATCACTTGAGATCAGGAGTTTGAGACCAGCTTGGCCAAGTAGAAACCCCATCTCTACTTAAAAAAATAATAATAATAATACAAAAATGAGCCAGGCATCGTGGTGCATGTGTGTAGTCCCAGCTACTTAGGAGGCTGAGGCACGAGAATCGCTTGAACGCAGGAGGCAGAGGCTGCAGTGAGCCAAGGTCGCGCCACTTCACTCCAGCCTGGGCAATGCAGTGAGACTCCATCTCAAAAAAAAAAAAAAAAAAAAGTATTGAATGAACAGGATAATACGGGCGGTTTAGAGTACCCAAATGAAGGAACTCACCCCACCAAGTCTTCCCTGGCTCCTCCTCAGTGTTTCCCCTTTACACTCCTGCAGGACTCCATTAATACCTCTTGTAGGATACTGAAGTCTGATTCTATTAAAATTAAATTTGAAGTTGTCTTCTTTCTCATGTTAACCCCACAAAGGGAGGGCCTGACTCGCACTCAATTCTTAACCTCAGAAACATCTCAGTCACATAGTGGTCAGCTGAAACTGACCAGATAATGCTCACCTTACGCTTAGAAGGGCAGACATCAGATTTCCAAAAGGAGCCAAAAACTGAGTAGGGGAGGTCAACCCACGCTTTGAACAATTCTGTCTTCATTTGATCTTGAAAGAGCTCAGAAATAGTAAGACATAATCTTCTTAACACATACCAGTACAGAGAACCAAATACCCATTTCTCTAACCAACAGACGTGCTTTTAAGATGGCTCAAAAAAATCCTCACTAAAACTCCGTAACATTAATTGCTGTGTATCAACAGTGAGTCTTTTGCCAAAGAAAGATAACTTAGACTTTTGTCTGGTGAGAAATAGATATATTAGTACACTGGCTTGCATAAATATTCCCATGAAATAATTAGTTCATTAATATGCAGCACATTAATCTGCAAAAACTTCTAAGCAATGGAAATCCTGCCCAATTAATGGATTTCTTTAATAACTGATTGCCTTAAACTCATTGGCCTTAAAATTGATAAATTACACTTATCAAATAACATTTGATAGATGACTATTAAGTGATTTGGAGTTTCTCTCTCCTATGTAAAGTAGCTTGATGAAATCTGAAATTCAAGGACTCTTGATTTTACCAGCAAAGCACGTTCTGTGGTCTAACAGTGTCACCCAGTGGTAAAAGGCACAGTTTGGTGTTCAGGGGAGCTGTTGCTTTTTAAAAGAAATAACCCGTCATACGTGTTTCTTTACTAAAAGGAAAAGAAAAAAAACACTTTTTTGAATTGCAAGAAGAAAACTAGTACGTAAATTCTAAAAAACATGACTGGCACAGAAGTGAGCAGCTCTTCATCCAAGGCCACTCTGAAGCCTTTGGAGACCACTCAGGAAGGAGCATGCAGTCCTGAGCTCGGCCTCCTGAGCTCGGGAGAGAGGCACGGTGGTGTAGGACCCGTGACTCAGGAGCAGTGCAGGAGGAGTTGAAATCAGCCCGTTCTCCAGGCCAAACGAGAGACCACAGGCCACCCTCGCTCTCAGCTGCACTGTGTCCTTCCTGTTTTGCCTGTCTACCATGCAGCCACAATTCTCTAAAGTTCAGCACTTCCAGAAAAAAGAAACAAAAAGCAGCCAATTCTGTTCCAAGGTTCACTATCTGATCCTAAAAACTTTAAAAAAAAAAAAAAAAAACCAAAAACTCTCATATGGTGAAGCTTAACTGAAATAATAAATTATTTAGCTTCCTTATCTGCAAAAAGAGAAGGCTGTGCCAGATGACCCTTGAGATCCCTTATTAGTGAAATGTTCTGATAATAAAGAAGAGTTTGGCTCACCTGCTGGTCTCCACCACACAGGTTTATAACCAAGAGCCCTACAGCTCTTGTCCCACCCTGAGGGCCTGACTGACCTGTGGAGGGCCCCACCTTTCGCCTCCATTCACTCACCCCTGTTCCCAAGAACCACTGACTTCTTTACATGAAGCCTACATTGAGTAAGTTTTTAGGTACAGATGCTGAATTACCCAAGCTGTATCCACCCTCACTCCAGGCACCCCGAGGAGAGACTCAACTGCTTGGCCCAGGGTTAGAGAGGCCCACACGGGAAGGCAGAGTGGAGCAGATGTTATTTAACCAAAAGTCTGTATCCTGGGGCTCCCAGCTACCACAGTCAAGAAACACATTTTTAAAAAATCAAGACCCTTGAACTAGCAGCAGTAGTCACCCATACCGTATACGATAAATAAAAGTAAGCCAATGTTTATTCTTCTTTGCATAAAATCACCTATACCAACACTTATACATTACAGCATCATTCAGTTAATTCAAGTCTGAATCCCAGAAACTCTCCTGAAATCAAGCCACAGTTCAGCCCTATTCTTCCTAGTTTTTCCTGACATACTTTTGCTTACTCTATAAATCCACGGATATTCTTCTTGCCTACTCCCACCAAAGCCCAAATACACGTGAAAAAAGTTAATCATGAAGTTTTTCTTATTCCCTTACATTTAGAAAATCAGCATCTACTCTCATAGACTACTTGTAAGAAGACAAATTTCTGCTACTCTCTGAAGAATTTGTTGGCAATGTGTAGCAAAAGGCCTTACCGTGAAACACCCTTGAACGCAGTAATTCCACTTTTAGGAATTTACCCTAAAGACATCAACAGAGATGTAGACAAGTGTACACAGAATGATATTTATTCCGGCATGGTCTATGATAGCGGAAAAAATGGAAGCCATTTAAATATCTAATAATGGAATACAGTGCAGCTTAAAATCATCCATTATTAGAATAAATAATGAAAGGGAAAATATTCACAAGGCACTAAATAGGAGAAAAACATTAGGCTCCAAACAGTATGCCCTTTACTTTGGAAAACAAATGCCTACGTGTGTGTCTGTGTGTACAAATGCACAGCATGGTGATCCTCAAAGTGTCATCCCAGGGTCCGAGGCATCGGCACCATCATGGAATTAGTTAAATGCAAATATCGGAGATGCAGTGAGTCAGTCTCTGGGGGGTGGGCCCGGCAACCTGTGTTTTATCATGTTTGCTAAGTGTCACATAACCTTTGCAGTAGACATTAAATTTATTCCATCATACAGATAGGGAAATTAAGGCCCAGCGAGACTAGGTGACTTGCCTAAATCTACAAGGCTAATTAAATGGCAGCTAGCAGCATCATGCAGCTAGCTCCAGAGTCCATGCTCTGAGCCACTTTGCTACAGCACCTCTCTATTTTAACTCTCCTATTTGGACGTGTGCTCTTTCTGCTAAATTAATGGCAGGATGCATCCCCCTGTTGTCTGATCACCTTCATAGTGGTTTAGCGCTTCTGTTACAAAGCTATTGATCTGGGGGCTGGGGGTGTCCTGGGCTCTATCACTAACATCCCCATTAATATATCTCTTGATGAATACCTGGTTGACATCTTTGAAGGCTAAAAAAAGATATTTAGATCTAAGTGAACATTAAATACCAGCACACATAAGCAAAAACTTGAATGCCATCAGCAATGACATGCAGCAGATACTGACTAAACACACAAGGCACCTGTTGCCTGCTAGAGGGGAGAGGCCATGTGGCAATCCCATGCACAGCTTCCAAACCACCTGGCCACCATCTTTGAAATTATACAAGTTTTGATTGACTTCTTTTCCTTTTTTGGTTTTTGCATGATTTCAAAATTTGCATGTAACAGAATCCTTATTTATATTATGTTATAGTCACAAAATTAAAATTGGTAAAATAAAGTTATCACACTTAATTCCTAAATTGCAAGTTCCTGAATAAAGAGACCTCCCTTGGAATTTTTCTCCTATGTTATTTTCTGAGGAGAAAACACCTCGGTCATTCATCTCAGGAAACTACAAAGAGGATGGACTGAGAAGATGGTTGATTTCGGCCTAATCATTCCTGAGAGGAAGGAAAATACACAGACCACGAAAAGCTTCCTGCTGGGCTAGCTTTCAAAGCCCTCAAACATTCCTGTCTTCAAGAGCTGACTAATAATTCCGTAATATTTATGACCTGGCCCAACTGGCCAAACAAACTAATACTTTCAAAAGAAGAGACTATCTTCAAACAGACTTAATGACAGAAACTTTAGAAGGAACACAGAGACCAGGTGTTCAACTTCCTCATTATGACAGATGAGGAAACTGAGGCCCAGAGAGATGAAATGACTAAGTTAAGAGAGTGGCAAAGACATTCTGGACCACACAGTGGCAAAGCTCGGACTAGGACCAAGATTGGAGTCTGGTCCACTCTTCACTACCCAACACTGCCTCTCACTTCTGACTGCTTTGCAAATTTTCTAAATTGACTGTCCACATTTTCTACTGATCTGTGGGTGTTTTGGCACCGTGAGTAACACCACCATTAACATTACCTCTGGATCAGTAACTGGATGGCATCTTTGAAGACTAATATGTTTCAACTGTAAGTACACTTTAATAACAGCTCGACAGTTTTATCTGCTTCTATAGCTGATCACGTTTTAAGATAGTACAGTCGTCATGATGATTTTTAAAGCTTCTCAAGCTAGGCGAAAACTACCCATCTGCCTTTTTTAAAATTTGCATTATTACCATTGAGCAGCTACAATGTTTAAAAACCAGTGACTGCTCAGACACGGTTATTTAGACATCCTCTAAGTCCCTACTTCCCACTGCATCTTGCTCCATTAAAACCTATTCCTCAAGCATCAGCATTCAGAATGAAATTAAGTAAGTTGGTGAACAAATTAAATTCAACCCTACCGACCTTCAAAGTAAAGACCAGTCTAATTGACAACCTGACCCCCATATTCCCATCAGAACATAATGAATGCTCAAAAACGGACACAGATGGGCCCACATTACTACCACAAAAATAACCAGATGCCCCCTTTTCTCACCAACATGTATGATTGCAAATTCTTTACTGCATGGCCACTCTAACTCTACTTTAATCTCCTACCTCCTAGATAAAAGTTGTTGGATACCCAATCACTGAATTGTTTCTGCCTCCTGGCCACATCCAACCCAGATCTGGTCCCATTTCCCTAATTCCACCTTCAAATCACCCAGTCCAACAACAACCCCAAGTCTGCCTTTCCAAAATAGTCCCAGGGTTCTTCTGGGTACACTGGCCCCGGCAGAAGCAAGCTAAACGAAGCCAACTTCTGTATAACTACACGTTGTGTTCCTGGTGGGTTTTGGCTGATGAGATTCGACACTGTTGTCTGAAGTCACTAGTAACGTATGGCAGAGTAGAAAGAACCTTAAATAAAAGGTCCACAAACCTAAATCCTGACTTCACTTCTCTGGGTTTGTTTCCTTACTGGTAAAATGACAGCCAGTCATTCTATCATTTTGTAAGTTTTTCATCTCAAATCTCCGTATATTGGCCAAATTGTGGGTCAAACAGGTTTGTTTCTACAGAAGAATATGTTCTAACTTCCAACCACTCACTCACTACAGGTTGAGCATCCCTTATCCGAAACACCAGAAGTGTTTCAGATTTCAAAGCTTTTCCAATTTTAGCATATTTGGAATATTTCTGAGTATCTACACTCTGAAATGCTCCGGTGAGCATTTCCTTTAAGCAGCATGTCAGTGCTCAAAAAATTTTGAATTTTAGAGCATTTCAGATTTCAGATTTGGGATGTTCAGCCTGTATTTCACTTTTGAAATACTGAATTAGTTAAGGGTTTGTCTGGAAAACTTCATTTTTCACTCTTAAAAAGAAAAAAGAGACCTTAATGCCAGAAACAACGGTAACAATGATGTGTTTTTTCTGTAGGCTTAAAATGTTCCATAATTAAAAGAATTTAAGTTGGCTCTTATTTGATTTCTGCTTCCGCAATGAAAACTGAGCGTGAGGACAGGGACACATCTCTGTCTGGGTCTTTGGAGGATTGTCTGTCTCTAACCAAACCCTAGAGAACAGCTATTTCCATGGCCCCGGCCCTTTTAATTAAAGTCTGTTTTCCCACTTCCCTCTCTTCAGACCACCTGGTGGGCTTTCTGTGAACAACCAATACGCAGGCTTCGCAGGGAGGACACCAAAAACAAGAAAGGAGTAAAGCAACAGCTGTCAGCAAGACCAGGACCCACAGCGCTCGCTGGTTGAGTTAACCTGGTTGGCTGAACCAGTTACTATGTCTCCTACGGGGGAGCACAGGGTGGGCCTGAAGATCGAGAGGGGAGCAAGACGTGGTCCAGGAGCTCCCTGCCTGGAGGAGAAGAGAGCAGACGCGACAGACGCACCCGAGGGTCAACAACTGGGAACACGGACACCCTGGGGGTCCAGGGGGAGGCACAGGGAGGCCTCAGGGACCAGATGCTCTTCCGACTGCACCTCCTGCCAGCTCCAGGGGAGGTACTTGTGCCCTTGTACACAGGTCTGTGAGGGTGCGTGGGGCGTAGGTAACAGCACCTGGCTGCAAGTAGCTGGAAGCGCAGGGCTCCTCTGCAGTTCACACGAGAATGCTGGAGTTGGCCCAGGGCTGCTTCATCGCTTGGAGGTGGCAGGAGGAACCTGGGCTCTTCTCCTAGCCCTGCCTCAGCTGCCCCAGATACACATGGGAAGAAGGGAAGGCAGAGACAGCCCCTGAGGAGGGCTCTCTCCAGCTGCGAAGGCAGGCACTCCCAGAAGCCCCCGGGGGCCTTCCTCCATCGCCTCATTGGCCAGAACAGTGTCACATGACCACTCTAGCCGCAAAACGTGCCAGAAAAATGCAAATTGGCATCCAGCAGGGAAGAGGGGATGGCAACGGCTGTCAGGTGGACAATCAACCCTCCTCTACAAGTACACATGCACACGCACACACACGCACACACACACCGACTGAATGCTGAGTCCCCCCAAAATTCCTATGTTGAAGCCCTAACCCCCAAAGTGACAGTATTTGGAGGTGGGACCTTTGAAAGGTAATTAGGTTTAGATGAGGTCATGAGGCTGCAGCCCACATGATGGGATCAGTGTCCTTATAAGAAGAGGAAAAGAGACCAGAGCTCCTTCTTTCTCAATCTCTCTCCCTGTACTCTCCAGCCTCAATGCCATGTGAGGACACAATGAGAAGACGGCTGTCTGCAAGCCAGGAACCCAATCTGCTGGCACCTTGATCTAGGACTTCTAGCCTCCACAAGTGTGAGGAAACCAACATCTATTGTTTAAGCCACCCAGTCTGTGGCATCTGTTATGGCAGCCTAAAGAGACTAAGACACATACAAGAGTCAACTGCCTTCAAAGGCAGGCCATCCTCCTGACAAGGGGCTTGCGAGGCCCCTCAGTTAACTACTCTGGATCCCAGCTCCAAGCTGAAAGGGAAACAAGAGCAATCGGAGTTTCTTAGAAGTGCTGAGTACTCGCAGCATCTATAATAAAAGCTGCAATAAGCAATAAAGATGAGAGAAGTTTAGGCCTTTTGGCCTCAGCTTTTCCATTTATGTGAAGCCTCCCTTTTAAACTAAGGGGGCTTTGGCAAAAGTTTAAATGTAAACACATTTGTAGTGAGTGTGGGTACTGGAATAAGGGAGTAAACTACACTGCCTCTGAACTTTCCCTGATTCAACTCTGCACATTAATTCAACTCCCTCTGGAGGCTTGTGGTTCCAGGACGCCAAGCCTTGCCATTTTCCCACAGGCTGCCCTGTAGAGTCACGAGTAAACAAAAGCAGGGCAACCCCAGCTCCATGAGACCGTTCATTCACCACCGACAGTGATCTCAGTCACCCCATCACAGCACACCCAAACCCAGAAACTCGAAGTGATCTCCCCACAGGACTCAGCTGAAGCCTTTCACTATCTGTATGGACAGTAACAGACACAGGAAAACTTAAAAGCTGAATGGGAAAATGACCGCATCCTGCAAGTGAGCATCCTACTTGGCAAACAAGGAACACAGAATGATGAAAGCCTAAAAACAAAGAGCTCACTGGTAAATACCCAGACATCGGGTGCCACATGTCTATAGAGCATAACAACCGTTTTTCTTACGGGAATGGAAAGGAGGCTGTTTTAGAAAATATTCAACATTTCAAAAATTCATCTAATTCTGGAGTTAAAAGAGGCCTTCGAGAAATACCACTTCATTTTAGTGATGAGGAACAGAGACATCAGTCATAATCCAGATCCTATAGAAGTGAAGTGATCCGATTTATCTTGACTCCAACAGGATGCTTTTAAGGATCATTTAGGACTACTGCAGTAATCTCATGTCTACTTTGTAAGCGTCCATCCTCAAGTCAATTCTCTGTCTGTCTCTCTCAAAACAAAGCCTTAATAGTCACTCCTTCCCCACTACACAAGTCTGTGAGAACAACCACCACCTACCACTGAGTCTGCAGCTCTAGTCCTCGGCTGTCAGGTATGAGGACTTTTGCCCCAAGAACCAATACATATCCTCCATCAAGTTACTCACTCTGGCAATTCATTGCATTGCAATCAAGTCTGTTACTACCTAATAACTCTATGGTCAAGTGATGTTTGCCCAAAGTCTCAACACACCATCGAGGGATTTAAATCCTACAGCAGCAGTATGACTCAGGGAAAGAACAGAAAAAGGTGGCGTGGCACCCCTTAAGTAAATGCTCCACCTGATACGAAGTCCACATGAAATGGAGAAATCGGCTTCTTTCCCTGAGTTACCCAAGTTGTCATGCTTTCATTTCTTTTGTTGTAACAGGATTCATTACCCAAGAACCCAGCATCCTATCAGCTTTGACTTCACTCACAGCTCTTATCACAAAGGTCAGAACTTTTTTTAACAGTACCTTTTTCAAGTTCACATAAATAGGAGCTACTGGTTACTTTAACTAAATGAAAAGGACAAGGACAAAGGACACGTTAACATACTCATAATGAAAACTTGTCTTTTACTGACAGCTGGTTATAGAGGAAATCACTCATCACTTCGAGAGGAACAATTGTAAAATAATTATGTAACAAGAAAATACAGATCATCATAGCTAACTACTTCCTTTATGCCTTAAAAAAATTAATCTGAACAGCTTAATTACAGTAGGATAGTTTTACCTCCTTAAATGGATTAAGTACTTAAAAATGTAGCACAAAGGCCATGAAAAATGAGACAATTCTTTTAAAAGTTTTCCGAGGCAACTCAGAGTTGAAAGAACAAAATCTAAAAGTCATTCTCTACATTTTGGTTTATAATTTTGTTTTGTTTTGTTTTGTTTTTTGAGATGAAGTTCGGCTCACTGCAATCTCTGCCTCCCAGTTTTAAGCGATTCTCCTGCCTCAGCCTCCTGAGTAGCTGGGACTACAGGCGCCCACCATGCCCGCCTAATTTTTGTATTTTCAGTAGAGACGGGGTTTCACCATGTTGGCCAGGCTGGTCTTAAACTCCTGACCTCAGGTGATCTGCCCGCCTTGGTCTCCCAAAGTGCTGGGATTACAGGTGTGCGCCACCTCACCCGGCCGATAATCTTACAAATGTCAAACTGAGTAAGATTCCAATTATTTGTGAGTATACTTTATTCAAGATTTTAAAATTCAGTTTATAGTAGAAAGTACATAAACACAGTGGTACATGGGACATGTTAATTAGGAAGGACACTATTTTCCTTTTTTTTTTTTTAAGGACACTATTTTCCTAATTTCATCTATGAATCTTTAGAATTGAAGACATAAACCTTATTTTCCACTTACAAAATGTATTAGCTCTGGAAAAAAAAATATCTGTATTACCATTACTATAAATCATTATACCTGATAACAACATATTATCACCAATGTTAAGGAATATCTTTTTCTCCTTCTATAGTTTAATCCACTGAAATGCCAGTCTCAATAGTCCCTATTTGTACCTTTCTGGCTTTATCAAATTCTCCCCAGTTCTCCCCCAAAAAGGCTTCAGAACCTTCTTGGTGGCCTGTGACACTAGCTTTTCATATTTCAACCCTACAGCGGTTGGACTGTGCTTCCTGTCTACTTTTGCCACACATTTAGCCTCTCGGAGACCTGCCTTCTGTGACATATGGTGTAGTTCTATTGTAAAGGATTGTGAACTATTTTATTTAGTGTAGAGAAAAGAAAAATGACAGCCTTAGAGAAACAAAACATTTTTAATTTGAAAAGGACGGTCTGTGTGATCACATCTACTCTGTGTAATTGCCTGTGATAACCGGCATGGCTATGTGTGACCCTCCCACCTAGAAATGATGCTTGGGAAGATCTTGGTGGGAACCACAGAAGGAAGGAGGATGTTGCAAAACATTGCCACTGTGATGACCAAAGTCCTGAACCCTAAAATGGGTCACGGTGAATCCACTCAATGGTGATGGAAATACAGCTAAGAAAGACTCAGTTATAAGCACTTTCCTTCTCTGCACAATTAGACTTGCTCTAAAGAACTCAGATAAACTTTCTAAAATATCTCAGATCGGAGGCTTTCAAACGCACTTTATCTATATACAGTGATCCACTACCCACACACACCCAACAATGAAAAAAAAAAATGAAGTCAACGTTTCCAGGAGAAATACATAGCCTTTACAACATGCTGTATACTGTGATAAGTTCATTATTTTGGCCAGGCGTGGTAGCTCACGCCTGTAATCCCAGCACTTTGGGAGGCCAAGGTGGGTGGATCACTTGAGGCCAGGAGTTCGAGACCAGCATGGGCAACATAGCCAAACTCCATTTCTACTAAAAATACAAAAATTAGCCAGGCACACACTCGTAATCCCAGCTACTTGGGAGGCTGAGGCCCGAGAAAAGCTTGAACCCGGGAGATGGAAGGGTTGCAGTGAGCCAAAATCTCACCACTGTACTGGGTGACAGAGTAAGACTCCATTAAAAAAAAAAGTCATTATTTCACTTCGTTGTAATGCTTGTTGTGACCCACTAAACTAATTTTATGACCCACTAACAGACTGCCTAGCAGCTTGGAAAATCCTGCCCTAATTCACTTACTTAAACTTGCCACAGTAATTTGGCAGCTCTCTTGAGACTAGCGAAAGCACACAAAAACGTCCAACAGCAATGTACATTGGATGAGCTTGCTCTATACCACCTGTCATGATCTCTTCCAAATGGGAAACATTTAAACAGTTTTATTTGGGTTAATATTACTGATAGTAAGACATCATCTTCTCTTCCACCTAATCTTTAAACTACCTTCTCCAATTGTTAAAAAATAATCTCAACTCTTTTTACCTGTGTGTGAATGAGGGAGAGAATACAAATTAAAGATGACTTCAATAATTATATCTGTTCACAGGTAAGTTTTTCCCCTACATCATGATGAAAGCTGAGGAATAAAGATGACCGAGACAGTAAATTTCCCCACACTTACTAAAATACTTTGTAAAGCAGTTCCAACAGTTTCTCTATCCACAAAATTAGTTTCAACTGCATTCTCCTTTAAAAAAAAAACATAGTGAAAGTCAGTTAACAAGTTTCTTAATGCCAAAGCAATCATTCTATCTGCATAATTTTCTAAGAAGCTGAACAAAATTCCACACCCTTAGCTCAAATTAACAATGGGTAAGAAGGAAGTTCTCTGGTCCCTGGTACCAGGAACCAGTCAAGGGCCATTTAACCCCACCACACAGGAAACTGGGCAAAAAGAGTAGGGGAGACACTAAGAACTGAGGCACTTTTCATACTGACCAAAACAGATGAGGCAACAGTAATAGTATGACTCGCAGAAGGAGCCCAAGCTTTAGAGTCTGAGAAACTCAGCCCAGCTCTGCCACATATCAGCTGGCCTTAGTTCAGCAGCAAAAACAACAAAAATAATTACTTAACTAATATTAGCTTTGAGCTGGGCAGTCCTAACTGCCATTATCTCAGTGAATTTTTACAACACTCTGAGGTAGGTTCTGAGGGCCAGAGAGGCTAAGAAACTTGCCCAAATTCATAAAATTCATAACAATTAATAATGGGAGGGCCAGGCTTCAAACAGGCTGACTCGTTTTAAAGCGGTTCAGGGGGCTCAGGTAGCTTTCTGAGCCCGTTTTTCCTTGTCTTCACCTCCCAGGCTTGCTGCAAGGTTTGCCGCCTCTGGCCCATCCTAAGAGGCTCACTGCCACACATATGTCATATATAATTAATGTATAGTAGATATGGACTCACCTGATCACAGGCATCTCAGATAAGCTGGCCTCGCCTGTTCAGAGAGTTAGAAATGGGCTTTTTCTTTATCTCCTTTTCCTCTACCCTCCCACTGCCTTACTCCACAAACACACCTCCCCCACGAATACTTCCCACCTACCTTATGGCACTGCAGTTCACAGCACTGCAGGCATGAGAAACATGACACCCATCATGAGTAGGTTTACTAAAGGAAGGGAGGTGAGTGCTAGCATTGCTCAGACAGGGCAAAGGTGCCAGGTAATTCAAAGCCAAGACAATGACAGTCAGAGAGTCATAAGGGCCGGAACTCAGACTGGGCAGGAGGAATGAGCTGGGAGAACCATTAGATTAAACTTATTTACCCAACAAGGTCTTTGCCACCCAACAGAAGGGAGGCAGGAGAGGGATGAAGGCTGGTACTGCTGGTGTGAAATGGACTGGACCAGTTGAGACTTGGGGATCTGGTACAAATGAGAGGGGCAGGGTCTCAAACATGCCAGGAGTTCTGCTTAAGGCAATAAATAATCTCACAATGGAGTGTAGCGTTGCATAAACATTGGTTTTGGAAACAGGAAGTACCAGCACCAAGCAGCTAATAAGTTTCAACAGAACATTTCAAAACAGGGTTACACTGTCCCTTTCTTTCCTGTGTAAGGTAGATGACAAATGCTATCCCCTCCAATCCTCTACCAAAAAAGTGGGTGAGCAGAAGCAGCGATGGGTGGTCAATGAAGTTCACAGAAGTATATCAACCAAAAGCTCATTTAATCAAGTGGATGAAAAATATGTCAATAATACACCATCATCTGATGACTGATTCAGGCATTTTTTAAAGCAAATATAGAACAATTGTGAGTATGCAAGCTCCTATGGTCTAACAAGTTACCTGTCAATGTCAGACCGAAATTATTAGTTGTCATAGCAGCAGTACACAACACTGCCTGCTCAGATTAGTCATAAGCAGTTGAGCTCTTTGTTTTACATTATAAATATACAACTAATTATTATAAAAACTATCTTCCAAGTATTAAGAAATCACTACTTTCTCAAACCAGAGGGATTTATAACCAAAGTCATAATCTTGACTTGGAGAAAAGCACCCATAAAGCCTAAATGACATAAATTGAATTTATAAATGTTCAGGAAACAGGACATTGTTATTATAAAGTTGTTTAATAATTTGAAGTCATACGATGTTTTTTTACCTCAAGGAAAAACATTGATTATAAAACTGACTACTGGATTAAATAATATTATCTAACAAAAGCAGACTTACAAAGACATCTATTATTTTAATTAAGTAGTGATGACATTATGAACTTGGAATCATACTCCCACTGACATAATTTAA